>NC_000010.11:10000-161515 GCF_000001405.40 Homo sapiens
CTAACCCTAACCCTAACCCTAACCCTAACCCTAACCCTAACCCTAACCCTAACCCTAACCCTAACCCTAACCCTAACCCTAACCCTAACCCTAACCCTAACCCTAACCCTAACCCTAACCCTAACCCTAACCCTAACCCTAACCCTAACCCTAACCCTAACCCTAACCCTAACCCTAACCCTAACCCTAACCCTAACCCTAACCCTAACCCTAACCCTAACCCTAACCCTAACCCTAACCCTAACCCTAACCCTAACCCTAACCCTAACCCTAACCCTAACCCTAACCCTAACCCTAACCCTAACCCTAACCCTAACCCTAACCCTAACCCTAACCCTAACCCTAACCCTAACCCTAACCCTAACCCTAACCCTTAACCCTAACCCTAACCCTAACCCTAACCCTAACCCTAACCCTAACCCTAACCCTCACCCTTCTAACTGGACTCTGACCCTGATTGTTGAGGGCTGCAAAGAGGAAGAATTTTATTTACCGTCGCTGTGGCCCCGAGTTGTCCCAAAGCGAGGTAATGCCCGCAAGGTCTGTGCTGATCAGGACGCAGCTCTGCCTTCGGGGTGCCCCTGGACTGCCCGCCCGCCCGGGTCTGTGCTGAGGAGAACGCTGCTCCGCCTCCGCGGTACTCCGGACATATGTGCAGAGAAGAACGCAGCTGCGCCCTCGCCATGCTCTGCGAGTCTCTGCTGATGAGAACACAGCTTCACTTTCGCAAAGGCGCAGCGCCGGCGCAGGCGCGGAGGGGCGCGCAGCGCCGGCGCAGGCGCGGAGGGGCGCGCCCGAACCCGAACCCTAATGCCGTCATAAGAGCCCTAGGGAGACCTTAGGGAACAAGCATTAAACTGACACTCGATTCTGTAGCCGGCTCTGCCAAGAGACATGGCGTTGCGGTGATATGAGGGCAGGGGTCATGGAAGAAAGCCTTCTGGTTTTAGACCCACAGGAAGATCTGTGACGCGCTCTTGGGTAGAGCACACGTTGCTGGGCGTGCGCTTGAAAAGAGCCTAAGAAGAGGGGGCGTCTGGAAGGAACCGCAACGCCAAGGGAGGGTGTCCAGCCTTCCCGCTTCAACACCTGGACACATTCTGGAAAGTTTCCTAAGAAAGCCAGAAAAATAATTTAAAAAAAAATCCAGAGGCCAGACGGGCTAATGGGGCTTTACTGCGACTATCTGGCTTAATCCTCCAAACAACCTTGCCATACCAGCCCATCAGTCCTCTGAGACAGGTGAAGAACCTGAGGTCGCAGGAGGACACCCAGAAGGTCCAGAGAGAGCCTCCTAGGCCCCCCACCTCCCCCCGTGGCAGCTCCAACCCCAGCTTTTTCACTAGTAAGGCAGTCGGGCCCCTGGGCCACGCCCACTCCCCCAAGCGGGGAAGGAGCTTCGCGCTGCCGCTTGGCTGGGGACTGGGCACCGCCCTCCCGCGGCTCCTGAGCCGGCTGCCACCAGGGGGCGCGCCAGCGGTGTCCGGGAGCCTAGCGGCGCGTGTGCAGCGGCCAGTGCACCTGCTCTGGCCCTCGCCGCGGTCTCTGCCAGGACCCCGACGCCCAGCCTGACCCTGCCATTCAGCGGGGCTGCGGCTCCACGGCCTGCGACAGCAGCCCCACCTGGCATTCAGCGCGCTCCCGGGGGCAGAGGTCGCGGTGTCCTCACGCTGTGGTGCCGGCCTACAACCCCCACGCCGGGCTCGGGCCCGGCGGAGGAGGGCGATGCTCCCCGGGTAGGACAAACCGGTCACCTGGGCTGCGACGGCGGCTTAGGGGCAGAAGCGGCGGTCCAGGGCCGCCTGGCGCAGCAGCCTGTCCCAGCCGCGGTCCCTGCAGTCCCTCCCTGGCGGCTGCGCAGCCGTCCCACGACAGGGGCCATAAACTCTCCAGAGCGGAAAGCCGCACCCTGGTGGCCCGGCCCCGCGCCCAGACCTGGCGGCCGCTGGCACCTGACCCGCTGCATGGGTCTCCAGGGAGCTCGCTGCCCACCCGGCGCTGCAGGCTCGGCTCCCTCGTACACTCTCTGGTAGGTGCTAGGGACGACCCTATGGGCCAGCTTGCCATGCCCAGTCCCCAGGCCGCACCCACCCTGGCTCCCTGGGCTAGGGGACTGGCTCCTCCTGTGAGTCGTGGGTCTGGGAGGCAGGGGCGTTAGGGGAGAGTGAGGGACCGAGGGCAGCCCCTGCTGTGTGCACAGCGAGGTCGTGCACAGGCGTCTGTTGCAGAGCGTGCAGCTTCAGATGAGACTGGATTGCAGGTGGAGATGACTGTGGGTGCGCACACCTGGAGGTGAAGGGGAGGCAGCCTGTCTACCTGACCCATGAAATACAGGAGACTGTACCCCAGAAGCAGCGGGTTCACTGCTCCATTGATTAAGCAAGTCTGGGACACACATGTAGCTAAGCTGTGAGTTCTGTACCAGCGATCCCAACACCCACGCCCTCAGAAAGACACTGGTGTGGGGCCTGGGTGCTTGTCAGGCCTGAAAGTGGAGAGCACGGGCCAGAGACACTGAGTAGGGGGAACCCACCCTAGGGCTCTGAGGGACGACGATGTGGGGAGCTGGTGACAGAGCCTGAGCTGGCCCAATGTTGCACGGTGGGGACAGATTCGAGGTACAGTGGGGACTGGTGACCTCAGTTCCCAGTGTCCCAGCCTGGCCTCCCAGTCCACCCAGCAATTAGTGGGTGCTGCCCTGCAAAGACTCTGGGGGTGCCTCAGCCCTCCTCATCACACGTGACTGGTGACTTCTGTGTCCACCCGCACAATAAGAGGGATCTTCTCTCACTTTCAGGCAAGCCCAAGAAAGTCAGGGGCCTATGTGAGCCAAAGAGGAGAGAAGGTGATGCCTCAGCCCAGTGTTTCTGCCCCACCTCGCTTGTGGCCTTCGGAACTTGATTTGCACCGCAGGAAAATGGGCAATGAAAACCCCTCCCTAACTGGCTTCTCAGTCCACTCTGACCAGCCCACTGCACAGCGCCCACCCTGCAGCTCCAGGTACAGAGGCTGGGATGGCTCTGGGCTGACCTAAGGGCCTTCTGATGGCTCCAACCCTCGGGATGCCTCATGCTCACCCTTTGGCACCCACCTGACAGCTCAGCATCTCTGCTCTCTGCCATCCTCAATGCCTGCTCTAGACAAGCCCAAGTCCCCCAGGAGTGGCAGAGGGAACTGAGCCGAAAACTAAGTCTCGGCTCACTGAACCCCAAGTGGGCTGTCCAGCCTCGCCCTTCAGTTCACAACCCCAGGCAGGTTCCCTCCAGGGATGTGATCCCAGGGGCCACAGCAGCACATTCTGGCCTAACCTATCCACTATTTAAACAGTTACTGAAAAGGCCAGGATGGCCGTGGGCCCTGACATTAATCCCCTTTCTCTGTGAGGGGGCTGGGTTGGGTTTGCCATCCTGATGTCTTTGTGGAAAGAGCTGGCAGGTGAAGCAAGTCTCAGGGGCCAGCCATGGGACAAGGAACCTAGGACTGGCCTCTGCTGGAACCCTCTGAGGCCCCTGCGGACAGGAGGATCCAATGGAGGTCTAGCCACCCCTCCCAGGTTGGTGCTCACAGCCCCTCCCTGGCCCACTCCCTGCACACCTGCACCTGCTGGTCTCTGGGAGAGGAGCATCCATCCATCTTGTGCGCATAGCTTTCGGCTCCATTTTCATGAGGATGGTCTCCTTGGCAGAAATGCCCATTAGGGGATCCTGAGCCTGTGCTAGCTCTTCTCTAAGTGCCAAAGCCAGTGAGAGGGACTTGAAAACTCAAGACTTATTAACAGTATTTTCTGCATTTTGTGCTTTCAGGGTTGTTTTTTCCTTAAAATGTGTAAAAACAAACATTGAGATTTCTATCTTTTATATAATTTGGATTCTGTTATCACACGGACTTTTCCTGAAATTTATTTTTATGTATGTATATCAAACATTGAATTTCTGTTTTCTTCTTTACTGGAATTGTTAACTGTTTTATAGGCCAAATCTTTTAAAAAAAACACATCTCTCTAATTTCTCTAAACATTTCTAATTACATATATATTTACTATACCTAATACACTACTTTGGAATTCCTTGAGGCCTAAATGCATCGGGGTGCTCTGGTTTTGTTGTTGTTATTTCTGAATGACATTTACTTTGGTGCTCTTTATTTTGCGTATTTAAAACTATTAGATCGTGTGATTATATTTGACAGGTCTTAATTGACGCGCTGTTCAGCCCTTTGAGTTCGGTTGAGTTTTGGGTTGGAGAATTTTCTTCCACAAGGGATTGTCTTGGATTTTTCTGTTTCTCCCTCAATATCCACCTGGAAAACATTTCAATTAATTTATATTTACTTAAATATTTCTGTGCAAAAACTGTGTACAAAAGCCCCAAAGCATAATTTGTGCAGTTGAGCGCATGTTCTGTTGTTCAGCATTTATGGTGGTTGGTAGTGGAAAAGATTTTTAGAATATGTGGATTTTCGGGATATTCCCAGAAGCCCAGATAGCGACACTTTACCTTTGGAGGAATTACTTCTCAGAATATTGCACACAATCAATCGCCTTTGGAAGGAGCATATATCCCCAGCAAAAGCTCTGGTTTTTTGAAGTCTGTATTGTGTGTTACTTCCAGGAGAATATGCAATGATGACAATGTTATTAGATGATTCAAATATGAAGTGCTGTTATGCCAAACAATGAATCTTTGTGTTATACATTATGCCTAACTATAAATCTTTGTGTTATACATTTTAATGTCATTGGAGAGTACTCCTGTCTTCTTGGCATTATTGATAATTAGATTCTAATTGCTAATAAGTCAGAAAAATTAGGAACACCAAATTTCAGTTGTCTCAAAAGCACTCCTCTTATTAAATTTGGATGTTTACCTTTATCACATCAAAAGAAATATTGTTAGAAAGGTGTTTAATGTTTTGCAGATGGATAGATTACTGTTATTAGTTCTCATTTCATTGTTAATTTTTAAAACCATAAGGTTGGAAGTATCAATATGCCTTTCAATATACCTTAGTGGAATTTATTAAATTTTCATGGATGTCCTTTAGGGGGTTCAGGAAGTTATTTCTATTGCTAGATTTCTGGAAGATTTATCAGGAATGAGTGTCAGACATTGTCAGACGTCCATTGAAATCATCATGGTCTTTTCCTTTATTCTATTAATATGATGTATTACACTGATTGATTTTTAAATTTGTATTGGTAGGATAATTCCACTTGGTTATATTGTCTAACTTTTTTCTAATTTTCTTTCATTTTTATTACAGATGAGGCCTCACTCTGTCACCCAGGTTGGGGTGGAGTGGCACAGTCACAGCTCACTATAACCTCAAGCTCCTGGGCTCAAGTGATCCTGCCACCTCAGCCTCCTAAGTAGCTGGAACTACAGATGTGCACTGCCATGCCAGGCTTGTCTAACATTTTTATGTGTTGCTTCATCCAGTTTGCTAGAGTTTTTGGAGATTTCTGTCTTCATTCATGAGGGATAATAGTCTGCACTTTTATTTTCTTGTGATACTTTTGTCTGATTTGTTATCTGGGTAATACTGGCCTTGAAAATGAATTGATGTTTTCCTGCTTCTCTGCTTTGCAAGTGTTTGTGAAGGATTGGTTATTCATTAAGTGTTTAATAGAATTCACTAGTGAAGCTATGTGAGCCAGGGCTAGACTGATGAAGAGTTTTCATTAGTCTAATCTGTTTACTTGCTGTATAAGTACGCATATATTCTCTTTCTTCTTGATTTAATTTTACACTTTGTGTATAGCAGGGAATCTGTGTCTAATTTGTAGTATTTCATGCTTCTAGGTTTTCATGGCAGTTGAGATGTAAGAATAACAATAATGTTGGGAGAAGGAAGTTGTGGACAATCCATGAATATCCCAACATCTGTTGTAGGAAGGTTAAGATTACTTTTTTTTTTTTTGCTGTACTGAACTGAATACTCTTATTTATAATGTCAGACAAATGTAATGTTGTATATAAATAGAACTAGGAAAATGTGCCATTTGTCTTAGTATTTAATCAAGATGGAAGTCTGGGCCTACCTCCTCTCTTTTATTAATATGTAGACAGGACACCAACACAAATTAGAATGAAGACAAACAAAATGTTAGCAAATGAAGAATGGTATCAATTGGTTAAAATGTGATGAAATAGAGTGGTGAATATTTACATAGAATCCATGATGTGTTAGGTGCTATTTCAAGCTATTTGCACATATAGTTTTAATACCAATGACGTTAAAATGTATAACACAAAGATTCATATAAATAAAAATTACAACATTGTAAATAATATTAGGTGACACTAAAACTGTCATAGAAATACACATTTATATAAAACATAAAGTAACATGAAGTATTAAATTTTAGAAACTTTGATTACTAATCAGATGAACAACTGATTAGCCTTTTTATCCAGTAAAAAAGGCATACATATTATTTTCAAATTCCAGAGACAAATATTTTAAATATTGAAGTTGAAGACCTAAAAATGTGTCACTGACCTCATGGAAGTAGATATTCACTAGGTGATATTTTCTAGGCTCTCTGAAATTATATCAGAAAAATGTGAATTAGAATATAACCCATAAATAATATCTGGCCACATACAAAGTAATTGAAGATCAATTTAAATGGCTATTGGATTAAGAAATAGGGACTGAGGTAAATTTGCAGTGTCAGGGAGGATCTAAGGAGGAAGCATTGACACTGGAGCCCAAGGACCTGGGATCACAGAACAGATTCTACCAGTGCTAACTTACTGCTCCACAGAAAACATCAATTCTGCTCATGCGCAGGTACAATTCATCAAGAAAGGAATTACAACTTCAGAAATGTGTTCAAAATATATCCATACTTTGACATATTAATGAAGTAATCACATTCTACACATAACTACTCCATATGGAATACTGGGGAGGAGGTGTTCCAAATAAAGAGACTGAGGATTTCTCATGAGAACTCAGTGTCTGCTAGAAAATATCTAAGTAAAATATTTTACTTATGTGGAAAGTGTGGATGTTTGTGCATCAAAAGTTTCAAGAATCCCTAAAATTTACAATGGAGATGAGGAGAAAATATCAGAATTTCCCAGCACCAGAAATAAGGCAAGAAAAAATTCAGAGGGGTTGTAAATGTGAAAAGCCAATGGCTGGTCACACAGCAACATTGATAACCTTGTGCCTGGACAACTAGAATAAATACATAAACATACACATTGAAAATATTTCCAATATTAGATCTCCCTCATGTGAGAACTAAATTATAAAGATTGAAGCATAGAAGAAAATAAGCTACCAGAATAAATTTGATTACACATAAATTTCTGATATTGAAACTGTCACAAATGTTTAAGTTGGTAGTGGAAGACAAAGGACATATAATCTTGGGAGTCCTAAGGCCCTGCCCACTGCCAGTCCCTCCACACTACTACAGCTGATGCTTTCTGGAAATCACCACCTCCTGGCAGGAGCCCAACCAGCACAAATATAGAGCATTAAACCACCAAAGCTAAGGAGGCTCACAGAGTCTATTGCACCCTTCACCACCTCCACTGGAACAGGCGCTGGTATCCATGGCTCAGAGACCCAAAGATGGTTCACATCACAGGGCTCTATGCAGACAACCCCCAGTACCAGCCCAAAGCCACGTAGACCTGCTGGGTGGCTAGACCCAGAAGAGAGACAACAATCAATGCACTTTGGCTTACAGGAAGCCATGCCCATAGGAAAAAGGGGAGAGTACTACGTCAAGGGAACACCCCGTGGGATGAAAGAGTCTGAACAACAGTCTTCAGCCCTAGACCTTTCCTCTGACAGAGTCTACCAAAATGAGAAGGAACCAGAAAACCAACCCTGGTAATCTGACAAAACAAGAATCTTCAACACCCCCCAAAAAATCACACCAGTTCATCACCAATGGATCCAAACAAAGAAGAAATCACTGATTCATCTAAAAAAAAATTCAGGTTAGTTATTAAGCTAATCAGGGAGGGGCCAGAGAAAGATGAAGCCCAATGCAAGAAAATCCAAAAAATGATACAATACGTGAAGGGAGAATTATTCAAGGAAATAGATAGCTTAAATAAAAAAATAAAAAATCAGGAAACTTTGGACGTACTTTTAGAAATGTGAAATGCTCTGGAAAGTCTCAGCAATAGAATTGAACAAGTAGAAGAAAGAAATTCAGAATTCGAAGACAAGGTCTTTGATTTAACCCAATCCAATAAAGACAAAGAAAAAAGAATAAGAAAATATGAGCAAAGTCTCCAAGGAGTCTGGCATTCTGTTAAATGATGAAACCTAACACTAATTGGTGTACCTGAGGAAGAAGTGAATTCTAAAAGCCAGGAAAACATATTTGGGAGAATAATCTAGGAAAACTTCCATGGCCTTGTGAGAGACCTAGACATCCAAATACAAGAACCACAAATAACACCTGGGAAATTCATCACAAAAAGATCTTAGCCTAGGCACATTGTCATTAGGTTATCCAAAGTTAAGACAAAGGAAAGAATCTTAAGAGCTGTGAGACAGAAGCACTAGGTAACCTATAAAGGAAAACCTGTCAAATTAACAGCAGATTTCACAGCAGGAACCTTACAAGCTAGATGGGATTGGGGCCCTTTCTTCAGCCTCCTCAAACAAAACAATTATCAGCCAAGAATTTTGTATCCAGCAAAACTAAACATCATATATGAAGGAAAGATACAGTCATTTTCAGACAAACAAATGCTGACAGAATTTGCCATTACCAAGCCAGGACTCTAAGAACTGCTAAAAGGAGCTCTAAATCATGAAACAAATCCTGGAAACACATCAAAACAGAACTTCATTAACGCATAAATCACACAGGACCTATAAAACAAAAATACAAGTTAAAAAACAAAAACAAAGTACAGAGGCAACAAAGAGCATGATGAAAGCAATGGTACCTCACTTTTTAATACTAATGTTGGTTGTAAATGGCTTAAATGCTCCACTTACAAGATACAGAACCACAGAATGGATAACAACTCACCAACTAACTATCTGCTGCCTTCAGGAGACTCACCTAACACATAACGACTTACATAAACTTAAGGAAAGTGGTAGAAAAAGGCATTTCATGCAAATGGACACCAAAAGCAAGCAGCAGTAACTATTCTCATATGAGACAAAACAAACTTTAAAGCAACAGTAGCTAAAAGAGACAAAGAGAGACAGTATATCATCTGTCACCTGACAGTCTCATCCAACAGAAAAATATGACAATCCTAAACATATGTGAACCTAACACTGGAGCTCCCAAATTTATAAAACAATTACTAGTAGACATAAGAAATAAGATAGACAGCAACACAATAATAGTGGGGGACTTCAATACTCCACTGACAGCACTAGACAGGTCATCAAGACAGAAAGTCAACAAAGAAACAATGGATTTAAACTATACTTTGGAACAAATGGACTTAACAGATATATATAGAACATTTCATCCAACAACCACAGAATACACATTCTATTCAACAGCACATGGAATTTTCTCCAAGATAGACCATATGATAGGCCATAAAATGAGTCTCAATAAATTTAAGAAAATTGAAATTGTATCACGCACTCTCTCACATCACAATGGAATAAAACTGAAAATCAACTCCAAAAGGAATCTTCGAAACCATGCAAATACATGGAAATTAAATAACCTGCTCCTGAATGAGCATTGGGTGAAAAACGAAATCAAGATGGAAATGTAAAAAATTTCTTCGAACTGGATGACACAACCTATCAAGACCTCTGGGATACAGCAAAGGCAGTGCTAAGAGGAAAGTTTATAGCACTAAACACCTACGTCGAAAAGTCTGAAAGAGCACAGACAATCTAAGTTCACATCTCAGGGAACTAGAGAAGGAGGAACAAGCCAAACCCAATCCCAGCAAACAAAGGAAATAACCAAGATCAGAGCAGAACTAAATGAAATTGACACAACAACAACAACAACAAAAATACAAAACATAAATAAAACAAAAATTTGGTTATTTGAAAAGATAAAATTGATAAACCATTAGCAAGATTAACCAAGAAAAGGAGAGAAAATCCAAATAACCTCACTAAGAAATGAAACAGGGGATATTACAACTGACACCACTGAAATATTAAAGATTATTCAAGGGTACTATGAACACCTTTTAGCACATAAACTAGAAAACCTAGAAGAGTTGGATAAATTCCTGGAAAAATACAACCCTCCTAGCTTAAATCAGGAAGAATTAGATACCCCAAGCAGACCAATAAAGCAAGCAGCAAGATTGATAGGGTAATTTAAAAATTACCAACAAAAAAAGCCAAGGACCAGACGGATTCACAGCAGAATTCTACCAGACATTCAAAGAAGAAATGATACCAATCCTTTCACACTATTCCACAAGACAGAGAAAGAAGAAACCCTTCCAATTCATTCTATGAAGCCAGCATCAGCCTAATACCAAAACCATGAAAGGACATAACCAGAAAAGAAAACTACAGACCAATATCCTTAATGAACGCAGATGCCAAAATCCTTAACAAAATACTATCTAACTGAATCCAACAACATATCAAAAAGATAATCCACCAAGATCAAGTGGGTTTCATACCAGTGATACAGGAATGGTTTAACATATGCAAGTCAATAAATGTGATACACCAAATAAACAGAATTTAAAAAAAACTCACATGATTATATCAACAGATGCAGAAAAAGCATTCAACAAAATCTAGCATTGCTTTATGATTAAAGCTCTCAGCAAAATAGGCATACAAGGGACATACCTTAATGTAATAAAAGCCATCTATGACAAACCCACAGCCAACATAATACTGAATGGGGAAAAGGTGAAAGCATTCCCTTTGAGAATTGGAACAAGACGAGGAGACTACTCTCACCACTCCTCTTCAACATAGTACTGGAAGTCCTAGCCAGAGCAATCATACAAAGGAAGGAAATAGAGGAAATCCAAATCGGTAAAGAGGAAGTCAAACTGTCACTGCTTGCTGACAATATGATCTTTCACCTTGAAAACCCTACAGACTCCTCTAGAAAGCTCCTAGAACTGATAAAAGAATTCAGCAAAGTTTCCAGATACAAGATAAATGTACACAAATCAGTAACTCTTCTATACATCAACAGCTACCAAGCAGAGAATCACATCAAGAACTCAACCCCTTTTACAATAGCTGCAAAAAAAAAAAAAAAAAAAAAAAAAAAAAAAAAACTTAGGAATATACCTAGCAAAGGAATCAAAAGACCTCTACAATGAAAATTACAAAACACTGCTGAAAGAAATCATAGATGGAGCCAAGCATGGTGGCGCATGCCTATAATCCCAGCTACTCGGGAAGCTGAGGCAGGAGAATCGCTTGAACCCAGGAGGCAGAAGTTGTAGTGAGCCGAGATCACACCATTGCACTCCCACCTCAGCGACAAGAGCGAAACTCCCTCTGAAAAAAAAAAAAAAAAAAAAAAAAAAAAAACAAGAAAGAAAAGAAATCATAGATGACACAAACAAATGGAAACGCACCCCCATGCTCATGGATGGGTAGAACCAATATTGTGAAAATTACCATTCTGTTAAAGGCAATCTACAAATTCAATGCAATCCCCATCTGAACACCACCATCATTCTTCACAGAATTACAAAAACGATTCTAACATTAATATGGAACCAAAAGAGAGCCATGTAGCCAAACCAAGGCTAAGCAAAAAGAACAAACCTGGAGGCATCACACTACTTGATTTCAAACTGTACAATAAGGCCACAGTTACCAAAACAGCATGGTACTGGTTTAAAAATAGGCATATACACCAATGGAACAGAAGAGAGAACCCAGAAATTAACCCAAATACTTACAGCCAACTGATCTTCAACAAAGTAAACAAAAACATAAAGTGGGGAAAGGACACCCTTTTCAACACATGATGTTGGGATAATTGGTGAGCCACATGTAGGGGAATAAAATTGGATTCTCATCTCTCACCTTATATAAAAATCGACTCAAGATGGATTAAGAACTTAAACCTAATACCTGAGCTATAAAAATTCTAGAAAATAACACTGGATAAACCCTTCTAGACATTGGCATAGGCAAGGATTTCATGATGAAGAACCCAAATGCAAATGCAATAAAAACAAAGATAAATAGTTGGGACTTAATTAAACTAAAGAGCTTTTGCATGGCAAAGGGAACAGTCAGCAGAGTAAACAGACAACCCACAGAGTGGGAGAAAATCTTCATAATCTATACATCTGACAGAGGACTAATATCCAGAATCCACAACAAACTCAAACAAATCAGTATGAAAGAAAAAAACAACCCCATCAAAAAATGGGCTAAGGACATGAATGGACAGTTCTCAAAAGAAGATATGCAAATGGCCAACAAACATAAATAAAAATGCTTAATATCACTAATGATCAGGGAAATGCAAATCAAAACCACAATGCAATACCACCTTACCTCCTGCAACCCAAAAATAAAAAAACAGTAGATGTTGCCGTGGATGCAGTAAACAGGGAACACTTCTACACTGCTGGAGGGAATGTAAACTAGTATGCCACTATCAAAAATAATGTGGAGATTCCTTAAATAACTAAAAGTAGAACCACCATTTGATCCAGCAATCCCACTACTAGGTATCTACCCAGAGGAAAATAAATCATTATTCAAAAAAGATACTTGCACACGCAAGTTTATAGCAGTACAATTCACAATTGCAAAATCGTGTAACCAACCCAAGTGCCCATCAGTCAACAAGTGGATAAAGAAACTGTGAGATAGATATATATAGATAGATATATAGATATATATATATAGATAGATAGATAGATATAGATAAATATATATAGATATCTATAGATATATAGATATAGATATATATAATGGAATACTATGTAGCCATAGAAAGGAATGAATTAACAGCATTTCCTGTGACCTGGACGAGATTGGAGACTATTGTTCTAAGTGATGTAACCCAGGAATGGAAAACTCAACATTGTATGTTCTCACTGATATGTAGGAGCTAAGCTATGAGGACACAAAGGCATAAGAATGATGCAACGGACTTTGGGGACTTGGGAGGAAGAGTGGGAGGGAGGCGAGCAATAAAAGACTACGAATATGGTGCAGTCTATACGGCTTGGGTAATGGGTGCACCATAATCTCACAAATCACCGCTAAGGAACTTACTTATGTAACCAAATACCATCTGTACCCCGATAACTTATGAAAAAATTAAATAAAAATAATAAATGAAAAATAAAGTATAACACACCAAGAAAGTGAAGAGATAACCCACAGAATGGGAAAAAATGATTGCAAACTATCCATCTGACAAAGGATTAATAACTGCAATATGTAAGAAGCTCAAACAACTCTACAAGAAAAAATCTAATAACCTGGTCAAAAATGGCCAAAAAGATTTGAAGATATATTTCTCAAAAGAAGACATACACATGGCAAACAGGCATATGAAAAGGTGCTCAAAATCATTGATAGAGAAATGCAAATCGAAACTGAAGTGTGACATCATCTCACTGGAGTTAAAATGGCTTATATGCAAAATACAGGAAATAACAAATGCTAGCGAGAATTTGGAGAAAAGGGAACCCTCATTTACTGTTGGTGGGAATGTAAATTAGTACAACCACTATAAACAACAGTTTGGAGGTTCCTCAAGAAACTAAAAATTAAGCTACCACATTATCCAACAATCCTACTGTTGGGTATATACCCAAAAGAAAGGAAATCAGTATGTTGAGATATCTGTACTCCTGTGTTTGTTGCAGCACTATTTACAATAGCTAAGATTTGGAAGCAACCTGAGTGTCCATCAAGAATGGATTAAAAAATGTGGTACATACACACCATGGAGTACTATTCAGCCCTAAAAAAGAATGAGAACCAGTCATCTGCAAGGCCATGGATGGAACTGGAAATCATTGTGTTAAGCAAAATAGCCAGCCACAGAAAGACAAACATCATATGTTCTCACTTATTTGTGGGATCTCAAAATCAACCCACTTGAACTCATGAACATAGAGAGAAGGATGATTACCAAAGGCTGGGAAGGATAGTGGGGAGCTAGGGTGAGGTGGGCATTGCTCATGGGTACAAAAAATAATTAGAATGAATGAGAGTCACTATTTGATAGCACAATAGGGTGACAATGGTCAATAATAACATAATTGTACATTTTAAAATAACTTAAAGTGTAATTAGATTGTTCACAACTCGAAAAATAAATGCTTGAGAGGATGGATGTCCCATTCTTTGTGATGTGATTATTTAATTTTGTATGTCTGTATCAAAACATCTCATTTATGTTATAAATATATACACCTATGTACCCACAAAAATTAAAAATTAAAAAATTATAAGACAGTTGACTCAATTTGAATTTTGGGTAATGTTATTATTTGTATAAATATCTTCCAATACTTGCTTAAACACATTACACATAAATATGCAAATATTGCTTAGCTATACTAAAATGTTATTCATTGCTCATCCCAATTTTAAACTTTACTGTGTTCCTTATATTTTCTTTCAGTAAATCTGACACATTCATTTTAAAAGTATCATAGGATTTACAATAACATAGTACAGATGTGAGGAAAAAAGAATAAAATAAAAATCCTTAGAGGTCATATGGGTTGGTAAGAGTATAAAAGAAAACTGAGTCCCATATGATACATTAAAAACATAAATCAGGATGTACATCTCAGCTCTCACCAGGAGACGTGGCAACCAGAATGTCCTTGGGCTGAGGGTGAAGTCCCTGACCACTCTCAGAGACAGACAATGCAAATCAAGTTCATTCTAACTGTGCTTGATTAACCTTCAAAATTGTGTAAGTCCCTAAGCATATATATAATCATGAGTAGTTGTGGGGAAAATAACACCATTAAATGTACCAAAACAAAAGACCGATCACAAACACTGCCGATGTTTAGATCAGATGTGTGAAGCAAAGAAAGAGAGTATAATAAAAAATAATTTAAAGAAAATAGAGCTTGATAAATCTGTTTCTTCATCTTCATAATAATGTCAAATTTGTTGAGATTTTTTTTAAATGGCACGATTTGTCTACAGATCTTTGTACTCTGGCTTAAATTAAATGTATATACAACTTATATAATAAAATACTGGGCTGTTTTATTATTATATTGACAATTTCTTAGTCACCACTACTTTGATCATATTCTATAAATGGCACTGTGAGACCTATCACTGGTTATCAACAACATAAAGTGTTTATGACAATTTCATGTGACAGATGAAGGAAGTTTGGTTAGTGCAGTGGCAATAGTTGGCAACCGAGAAACTGAGCTCACAATTTTAGAAAAGTATTATTCTTTCTAACTAGATATTTCCATGAAAAGAACCTTGTGAAATGCAGAAATGCCAAAAGAATAATTATAAGATAATAACCAAATAACTAAAATACATCTCAATTTCTCTGACAATCTAACTTAATGCAGGGTACAGCCAGAATCATGATGTTTACAAACATAGACATTTACGATCTCGAGACATTTAATTATTAGCTGGTTGAGGAAAACAGTAGTAGAACTGTTATTGCAGAGATAAAAGACAGAAAACAGTGGAAGGGCTTGATCACAAGTCATATGTTCCAGTTTTGGAAACCTCTAAAAATCCTGCCTGGTGATAGGTTTTTCTTATCTCATTATTGAAGAATATATGAGCAGGCAGGGCACGGTGGCTCAAACCTGTAATCCCAGCACTTTGGGAGGCCAGTGTTGGAGGATCACTTGAGGCCAGGAGCTCAAGACTAGCCTGGGCAACATAGGAAGACCCTGTCTCTACAATTTTTTTAAACTAGCCGACTGTGGCGGCATATGCCTGTAGTCCCAGCCACTAGGGAGGATGAGGTGGGAGAATGGCTTGACCTTAGGTGTTTGAATCTGGAGTGATCTGTGATTGTGCCACTGCACTCCAGCAAGAATGACAGAGCTAGATCCTGCGTACAAATATACACATATTGTATATATTGTCAATGACCAGTCACAGGTCTTACAATGCTGTTTATACAACATGGTAAAAATAATGTTGACAAAGAAATTATCACAATAATAATAATAAAAGCCCTGTGTGTTATTATTTAACTTGTTCATAAATTTAATGTAAATGAGGTAGAGTAATAAAGATCTGTAGACAAATCATGTCATTTATTTTTTTTAATCTCAACATAATATAACTTTTTTTTTTTTTTTTAAACAGAGTCTCACTCTGTCACCCAGGCTGGAATGCTGTGGCTAGATCTCGGCTCACTGCAACCTCCACCACCCTGGTTCAAGCGATTCCTCTGCCTCAGCCTCCCAAGTAACGGGGATTACAGGTTCCTGCCACCGTGCCTGGCTAATTTCTGTATTTTTAGTAGAGAGGGGGTTTCACCATCTTGACTAGGCTGGTCTTAAACTCCTGACCTCGTGATCCACCGGCTCGGCCTCCCAAAGTGCTGGGATTACAGAAGTGAGCCACCGCGCCCAGCCAACGTTTCTTTTTTAAAGTGTGCAAGCTCTTTGACCATCATGTCTCTGTGCATCACTGCAATAAGATAACCAGAGCAACTGTTTCCACCGTGGAGTTGGGAGGAGATAAAGACACATCCTTTGTGCTTTGGGCGCTCTTATCAGGATCAGGGAGGCCCCTGCCCTCTGATTTTCTCTCTCTTAAATGTACAAAGTACAGAGATTTTTATCATGAATAATTTTAAGAGAAATTAAAAATTCTATATTGTTCAAGGACATGCAGGTTTTCTATTGATCATGTTTCCTCTTGATATTATTAGGCCCTGGCCAGCCGCAAATGAACAATCTCTATCATCAACATTGTGTTCCTTTGCGTTTTAACCTTTCCTGATTCCATTCTCTCTACCTTTTATTTTGAAGAAGCATAGACACCAGAAAACCCTATCCCTACCAAATGCCAAAAAAAAAAACCCTAAAATTGTAAATATTAACATTTACAAGTCACATTTGGGAATATATAATTTAATTAGAAAATTACAATTTTAAACTTTCAGAGGAAGTGGTAGTAATATAAAACAGAGGACATTTTTATAATAAGGAACTCTTATATTTTGCAAATTATTATTCTCTCATCACCAAATAGTGCTACCTAAAGTAATATACAACCAATTTAATAAGTTTAGTTTTAAAAAACACAAAATTACAAAACAATTAATACAATATTTGAAATTATGATGCATATTGCCAGCCTCCCTTCAGGTAAAATTCTATTAACTCTACAAAAATTTTCTAAATGGCAGATGTTACATTTCCAGAAAGCTTTGTGGTAACCAAAAAAGAATTGATTTATTAGCAATTTTTATATCACACTGAGACAAAATATTATTTGTGATAAATATTGTTATGTATTTAAAACATCTCATGTATTAAGAAATCATACTTTAGATGGGGCCAAGCTGGCCTATTAGAAGCAGCTGTGGCCTGCGGCTCTCACGGAGAGCAGTAAAAACTGCGAGTGAATTCTGCACCTTCAGTTGAGGTATCCAGGTTCTTGCATTGGGACTGACTAGGCAGACAGCTCGACCCACAGAGAGCGAGGAAAACAAGTGGGGCGATGGCCCACCCAGGTGTGGCACGGAGCTAGGGGCGCCCCCACTCGCAGCCAAGGGAGGCGGTGAGGGATTGTGCGACTCTGCCCGGGAAACCGTGCTTCTCCCACGGATCTTTGCAACCTGCAGATCAGGAGGTCCCCTGGTGAGCTCAGCCATGGCCTTGGGTCTGAAGCACAGAGCTGTGTGGAGTCTGGGCGGAATGCTCGCTGGCTCACTGGGGCATGCGTGAAAGCCCAGGAGTTTTGCATCCTCTGCCCCGAGAATTCCAGCAAAGCGGAAGATACATCCGTGCATTCCCCTAGGAAGGGGGCTGAATCCAGGGAGCCAAGTGACATCATTCTGAGGCCCCACTCCCACAGCACCTCACAAGTCCCATTGGCTTGGAATTCCAGCTGGCCAGCAGCAGCAGGCTGGAGACAGCCGGAGATGGACCGGGTTCCCGGGGTAGGGCAGCCACTCTATCTGTGGTTTGAGTTGGCCGCTCTAGCCTGCTGGCACCAGGGACCAGGAGGAGTCCCCCATAACACAGCACAGCTGCTGTGACTGACCGTGGCCGGGCTGCTTCTTTAAGTGAGACCGAAATCCATCCCTCCTCACCGGACAGGGCCTCCCCATCGGAATTTTAGCAACTCCAGCCAGAGTTCTATGGACAGAACTCTGATTTCTCCCTGGGATGAAGTCCCCAGGGAGAGGGGTAGCTGCTGTCTCCCCAGTTCAGCCGACTGAGCCTTTCCAGCCTGCTGGCTCTGGAGACTCCTGGGAGTCACCACAGCACACCTGCTCTGCCGAAGGGCAGCCAGACTGCTTCTTTAAGCAGTCCCTGATCCTGTTTCTCCTGACTGGACAAGACCTCCCAACAGGGGTCTCCAGACACCTCCTACAGGAGCGTTCCAGCTGGCATCAAGTCGGTACCTCCTTGGACTGGTGCTCCCAGAGGAAGGAACAGGCCGCCATCTTTGCTGTTTCGCAGCCTTCACTGGTGATACCTCCAGGTGCAGGAGAGACTGAGGTGATGAGGGTCCAGAGTGGACCCCCAGAAAACCACAGCAGACCTAGGGAAGAGTGGTCTGACAGTTAAAAACAAACAGAAAGCAACAACATCAACAAAAAAGACCCCACAAAAACCCCATTCAAAGGTCAGCAATGTCAAAAATCAAAGGTAGATAAGCCCACAAAGATGACAAAACGTAACACAAAAACGCTGAAAACTCAAAAAGGCAGAATGCCTCTTCTCCTCTAAATGACAACAACACCTCCCCAGCAAGGGCACAGAACGGACCCCAGGCTGAGATGGCTGAATTGACAAAAGTAGGCTTTAGGAGGTGGGTAATAACAAACCACACTGAGCTAAAGGAGCACATTCTAACTTAATGCAAGGAAGCTAAAAATCATAAAAGAAATTACAGAAGGTGATAACCAGAATATTCAGTTTAGAGAGGAACATAACTGACCTGATGGAGGTGAGAAACACAACACGAGAACTTCGCAATGCAACCACAAGTATCACTAGCAGAAAAGGCCAAGTGGAGGAAAGAATCTCAGAGCTTCAAAACCATCTGTCTAAGACAGGAAGAGAAGAATAGAGAAAAAAGAACAGAGAACAATAGAGAAAAAAGACCAAAAAAGAATGAATAAAACCTTCAAGAAATATGGGATTATGTAAAAAGACTGAACTTAAGACTGATAAGGGTACCTTGACCCACCACGATCAAGATGGCTTCATCCTTGGGATACAAGGTTGGTTCAACACAGGCAAATCTATAAATGTAATTCCTCACATAAACAGAACTAAACATAAAAACAACAGGATTATCTCAACAGATGCAGAAAAGGCCTTCAATAAAAGTCAACATCCCTTCATGTCAAAAACTCTCAATAAACTAGCTATTGAAGGATCACACCTCAAAATAATAAGAGCCACATATGACAAACCCACAGCCAATATCATACTGAATGAGCAAAACCTGGAAGCGTTCCCCTTGAGAACTGGCACAAGACAAGGATGGCCTCTCTCACCACTCCTATTCAACGTAGTACTGGAATTTCTGGCCAGGGCAGTCAGGCAGGAGAAAGAAATAAAGGCATTTAAATAGGAAGAGAGGAAGTCAAATTATCTTTGTTTGCAGATGACATGATCCTGTATCTAGAAAACCCCATCATCTCAGCCCAAAAGCTTCTTAAGCTGATGAACCACATCAACAGAATCTCAGGATACAAAATCAATGTGCAAAAATCACTAGTATTCCTATACACCAACAACAGGCAAGTAGCCAAATCATGAATGAACTTCATTCACAATTACTACAAAGAGAATAAAATACATAGGAATACAGCTAACAAGCGAAGTGAAAAACCACTTCAAGGAGGACTACAAACCACTGCCCAGAGAAATCAGATAGGACACAAACAAATGGAGAAGCATTCCATGCTCATGGATACGGAAGAATTAATTCATGAAAATGTCCATAGTGCTCAAAGTAATTTATAAAAGAATTCAATGCTATTCCCATTAAACTACCAATGACATTCTTCACAGAATTAGAAGAAACTATTTTACAATTCTCATGAACCAAAAAAGAGCCCAAATAGCCAAGACAATTCTAAGCAAAAAGAACAAAGCTGGAGGCATCACACTACCCAACTTCGAACTATACTATAAGGCTACAGTAAACAGAACAGCATGGTACTGTACAAAAACAGACACATAGACCAATGAAACAGAATACAGAACTCTGAAATAAGCCCATACACATACAACCATCTGATCTTTGACAAACCTGACAAACACAAGCAATGGGGAAAGGATTCCTTATTTAATAAATCATGTTGGGAAAACTGGCTAGCCATATGCAGAAAACTGAAACTGGACATCTTCCTTATACCTTATACAAAAAAATAACTCAAGATGGAATAAAGACTTAAACGTAAGACCTAAAACCATAAAAACGCTGGAAGAAAACCTAGGCAATACCATTCAGGACATAGGCATCGGCAAAGACTTTATGACTAAAACACCAAAAGCAATGGAAACAAAAGCCAAAATTGACAAATGGGATCTAATTAAACTAAAGAGCATCTGCACAGCAAAATAAACTCATCAGAGTGAACAGACAACCAAAAGATTGGGAGAAAATTTTTGCAATCTGTCTGACGAAGGGCTAATATCAAGAATCTACAAAGAACTTAAACAAATTTACAAGAAAAAAAACAACCCCATCAAAAAGTGGGCAAAGGAAATGAACAGACACTTCTCAAAAGAAGACATTTATGCAGCCAACAAACATATGAAAAAAAGCTCATCATCACTGGTCATTAGATAAATGCAAATCAAAACCACAGTGAGATACCATCTCACACCAGTTAGAATGGTGATTATTAAAAAGTCAGGAAACAACAGATGCTGATGAGGCTGTGGAGAAATAGGAATGCTTTTACACTGTTGGTAGGAGTGTAAATTAGTTCAGTCATTATGGAAGACAGTGTGACAATTCCTCAAGGTTCAGCAATCCCATTACGGGGTATATACCCAAAGCATTATAAATTATTATACTATACAGACACATGCACTGTATGTTTATTTCAGCACTGTTCACAATAGCAAAGACTTGGAACCAACCCAAATTCCCATCAATGATAAAGTGGATAAAGAAAATGTGGCACATATACACCATGGAATACTACACATTTATGTCCTTTCCAGGGACATGGATGAAGCTGGAAACCATCATTCTCAGCAAACTAACACAAGAAAAGAAAACCAGGCCAGGAGCAGTGGCTCATGCCTGTAGTCTCAGAACTTTGGGAGGCAAAGGTGGGCAGATCACCTGAGGTGAGGAGTTTGAGACCAGCCTGACCAACATGGAGAAACCCCATCTCTACTAAAAATACACACAATTAGCCAGGCATTTTGGCACATGCCTGTAATCCTAGCTACTTGGGAGGCTGAGGCAGGAGAGTCACTTGAACCCGGGAGGCAGAGGTTGCGGTAACCCAAGATCATGCCATTGCACTCCAACCTGGTCAACAAGAGTGAAATTTTGTCTCAAAAAAAAAAAGAAAGAAAAAGAAAAAGAAGAAAAGAAAACCAAACACTGCATGTTCTCACTCATAAGTGGGAGTTGAACAATGAGAACACATGGACACAGGGAGGGGAACATCACACACTGGGGCCTGTCAAAGGGTGGGAGGCTGGGGGAGGAACAGCATTAGGAGAAATACCTAATGTAGATGACAGGTTGATGGGTGCTGCAAACCACCATGGCACGTGTATACCTATGGAACAAACCTGCATGCTCTGCCCATGTATCCCAGAACTTAAAGTACAACAAAGAAAACTTTACATAAATGCATAAAGTCTAGAACAGCTAATATATTATAATGAAATATCAACTATAATCCCAGCTCAAACAGAACACCATGAAATTATGAAGGGCTTTCCACAAATCTCTAAATTTATGTCTTCATAAGATTACATTTCTATTTCTTCTTGAATAATTTCCTTATTTGAGCTATGATTTAGTGATAGTAAGACGGTAATTATAAGGAGAAACTTCTCCCAACACTCCATTGAGAAAATTCTGCCTCATTTCACCACACACCAGAGTCTTAAGCAGTCACTTCTAATGTAGCTGAACAATAGATCCTCACCCACCTGAGTCTATGAATTGAATCAACATATGTGAGATAAGGCCCCCAAGGAGTGGTAGTAAGCTGGGAATGCCATCAGCTCATCTTCCTTCAGGCCTATATTTGTCATTGTCACTTGTAGAAGCAGGACAGCCCTGGCGTTGGGGTTGTTAGAAACAGAGAGTATCAAAGGGAAAACTGAAGTTCCCTAATTTTTGGAAAACAGCAGATTGGAGACAGATGGGCTCCAGCGTTTTCCATGTGTGAGGTCATTATCCCAGGTAGCCTTGCTCAGGACCTCAGGACCACATTTCTTGTCAGCAAAACAGAAGTCAAATGATATTTCTACCTTCCAAGAGAATAGAACATAATGTCAGATTTTCTCATGGATTCCCACAAGTTCAAGAAACTTTCATGGCCTTATTTAACTGCTTAAGCATTTCAACTAAAAAATTGTCTTTCAAATACACAGGAATCTATTTGGAATAATTTTAACCAGAAAAAGTTGGAATTCTAAAGTAAAAAATGCATAAGGCAATCAAAATTTTTTACAGCTTTTAATTTAGATGTCAATGGGGAAAAAAACATTCTCTGAAATTTGCTTTTATACCATTAAAGACTTATTTTTTACTACCAGCAATACAGGGCAACTCATTCAGGTTGAATCTTGAAGGTAAACTTTAACTTAATTTTAAGTTTTGGCTAATTTTTAAGCATTTATCAATCACCTACCATGATTTCATCTCAGAAACCAAAATCTCAATTTCATTTAGGCCTTTGAAATATTAAAACAGAAGGTTAAATGCTTCAAAAAAATATTCATGTAGAGGCTTATATATGTGGACCAGGAATCTCCCTGTATTACAAAGCTTATGAGAACATAACAAATGTTGATACACACATTTAATTCTAAAATAAAAACTTACAACAAATAAAACTGTAACAAATCAAGAAAATTTTGTAGGTTTCACATTTTATGTCTGAAAATATAGGTATAAACACTCAAGGAAGGATAAAAGAAATCACAAGAGAAAATAGAAAATATCTAGAGACAAATTAAAAATATGAAATACTGAAAGAGATACATCAAAAACAATACCATAAGGGAAAAATTTATAGCTATAAATGATAAAAAATAAGATACCGAATAAACAACTTTACTCCTAAGGAACTAGAAACAGAGGGAAAAAGAGGGACTACTAAAAGAGGGACAACTAAAAGCTAGCAAAATTTTAAAAATGATAAAGACAGCAGTGGAAATAAGTGAAATAGAGAAGAGAAAAACAATATGAAAAATCAACAAAACCAAGTTTGTTCTCTGAAAAAGATCAAAACTGACAAAATTTTATCTAGATTGACTAAGGAAAAAAAGGGAATACTCAAATTACTAAACTCAAAAATAAAATGGGTACATTACTAACAAATTTTTGGAGTAAAAAAAGGATGTATGAGAGTACCATAAGGAACTATACACTAAAAAATTGAATAACCTAAATAAAATGAACAAATTCCTAGAAACAAAAAACCTACTAAGACTGAATCAGAAAAGTTGAATAAACCTATTCAGCAAGGAGATTCACCAAGAAGATGACATCAGTAATCAAAAACCCAGCAACAAAGAAAAGCCTGGACAAGATGGCTTCACTGTTGAAATCTACCCAACGTTTAAAGCAGAATTAACACCAGTTTTTCTCAAACTTTTTCAAAACGTTGAAGAGGAGGTAACATTTTCTAACATATTCTATGCGGACAGTATTACCCCGACACCAAGTCAGACAAAGGCACCATAAGAAAACTACAAACAAACATCCCTTACAAATGCTGATGCAAAAATCCTCAACAAAATACCAGCAATTCAAATTTAGCAGTACATTAAAAGGATTATACACTATGAATGAGTATAATTGACTCCTGAAATAAAAGTATGTTCCAACACATGAAAATCAGCATATCACATTAACATAAAGAAGGAAAAAACCCTCATGTGATCATCTTAATCAAAGAAGAAAAAGAATTTGTCAAAATTTAACCCACATTCATGATAAAATATACTTAATAAGCTATAAAAAGGAATAAAACACCTTAACATAAGGTTATATTAAAAAAATACACAGCTAACATTATAATGAAAGACTGAAAGCTTTTACCCTAAGAGCAAAATCAAGGATGCCTGCTTTTACTACTTCTATTTAATATAGTACTGAAGGTTCTAGTTAGTTAAAACAATAAGGCAAGTAAAACAATAAAACATATTCCAATTTTTAAAAAAGTAAAATTTTCTGTTCGCAGATGACATAACCTTGTATATTAAAAATCTTTTAGTTTCTGTGAGATAAACTATCAGATGCAATAAATAACATTCAGCAAAACTGCAGGATACAAAATCAACACACAAAAATCGGTCGTATTTCTACAATAACAAACCATCTGAAGAAGAAATCAAGACAACAGTATCATTTATGATAGCATCAAAAGAATAAAATACTTAGAAACCAATTTAACCAAGGAAATGAGAAACCTGTACAGCAAAAGTATAAACATTGCAGGAAAGTATTAAAGATAACACAAATAAATGAAAAGACATCATGTGTTTATGGACTGGAAGACAAAACCTCATCAAGATTCCATTGTTATCAATAGTCATCTACAGATTCAATAAAATCACTATAAAGATTCCAATATTTGCAAAAATACAAAAACCTATTCTAAAATTCAGATGAAATCTCAAAAAACCCCAAGTAGCCAAATCAATCTTAAAAACTAACAAAATTAGAGGACTAACACCTCCTGGTTTCAAACTTACTGCAATGCTTCAGTACCCAAAACAATGCTGTACCACCATAGAGACAGACATAAAGACCAATGCAATAGAAATAAAGAACCAAAAAACACAGTCATGATTTTTAACAAGGGAGTCAAAACTATGGGGAAAGGACAGTATATTTTTAAACGGTGTTAAGAATGAATATTTACATGGAAAACAATACAGTTGGAGCCTTATTTTACACCATATAAAAAACTTAATTTAAAATGGACTAAACATCTAATTGTAAGAGCTAAAACTATAAAACCCTTAGAAGAAACATAGGAAAAATGTTTCATAACATAGAATCTGGCAATAATTTCTTGGATATGACAGTGAAAGCACAGACAACAACAACACCAAAAATACATAAAAAGAACTTCATCAAAGTGACAAGCTGTTATGTATCTGAAGACACAATCAATAGATTGAAAATGGAATAGGAACAGCTCTGGTCTACAGCTCCCAGCGTGAGCGATGCAGAAGACGGGTGATTTCTGCTTTTCCATCTGAGGTACTGGGTTCATCTCACTAGGGAGTGCCAGACAGTGGGCGCAGGTCAGTGGGTGCACGAACCGTGCACAAGCCGAAGCAGGGTGAGGCATTGCCTCACTCGGGAAGCGCAAGGGGTCAGGGAGTTCCCTTTCCTAGTCAAAGAAAGGGGTGACAGACAGCACCTAGAAAATCGGGTCACTCCCACCCGAATACTGTGCTTTTCTGACGGGCTTAAAAAAACGGCGCACCATGAGATTATATCCCACACCTGGCTGGGAGGGTCGTACGCCCATGGAGTCTCGCTGATCGCTAGCACAACCGTCTGAGATCAAACTGCAAGGTGGCAGCGAGGCTGGGGGAGGGGTGCCCGCCATTGCCCAGGCTTGCTTAGGTAAACAAAGCAGCCAGGAAGCTCGAACTGGGTGGAGCCCACCACAGCTCAAGGAGGCCTGCCTGCCTCTGTAGGCTCCACCTCTGGGGGCAGAGCACAGACAAACAAAAAGCAGTAACCTCTGCAGACTTAAATGTCCCTCTCTGACAGCTTTGAAGAGAGCCGTGGTTCTCCCAGTACACAGCTGGAGATCTGAGAATGGGCAGACTGCCTCCTCAAGTGGGTCCCTGACTCCTGACCCCTGAGCAGCCTAACTGGGAGGCACCCCCCAGCAGGGCACACTGACACCTCACATGGCAGGGTACTCCAACAGACCTGCAGCTGAGGGTCCTGTCTGTTAGAAGGAAAACTAACAAACAGAAAGGACATCCACACCAAAAACCCATCTGTACATCACCGTCATCAAAGACCAAAAGTAGATAAAACCACAAAGACGGGGAAAAAACAGAACAGAAAAACTGGAAACTCTAAAAAGCAGAGCGCCTCTCCTCCTCCAAAGGAATGCAGTTCCTCACCAGCAATGGAACAAAGCTGGATGGAGAATGACTTTGATGAACTGAGAGAAGAAGGCTTCAGACGATCAAATTACTCTGAGCTACGGGAGGACATTCAAACCAAAGGCAAAGAAGTTGAAAACTTTGAAAAAAATTTAGAAGAATGTATAACTAGAATAACCAATACAGAGAAGTGCTTAAAGGAGCTGATGGAGCTGAAAACCAAGGCTCGAGAACTACGTGAAGAATGCAGAAGGCTCAGGAGCCGATGCGATCAACTGGAAGAAAGGGTATCAGCGATGCAAGATGAAATGAATGAAATGAAGCGAGAAGGGAAGTTTAGAGAAAAAAGAATAAAAAGAAATGAGCAAAGCCTCCAAGAAATATGGGACTATGTGAAAAGAACAAATCTACGTCTGATTGGTGTACCTGAAAGTGACAGGGAGAATGGAACCAAGTTGGAAAACACTCTGCAGGATATTATCCAGGAGAACTTCCCCAATCTAGCAAGGCAGGCCAACATTCAGATTCAGGAAATACAGAGAACACCACAAAGATACTCCTCGAGAAGAGCAACTCCAAGACACATAATTGTCAGATTCACCAAAGTTGAAATGAAGGAAAAAATGTTAAAGGCAGCCAGAGAGAAAGGTCGGGTTACCCTCAAAGGGGAGCCCATCAGACTAACAGCTGATCTCTCAACAGAAACCCTACAAGCCAGAAGAGAGTGGGGGCCAATATTCAACATTCTTAAAGAAAAGAATTTTCAACCCAGAATTTCATATCCAGCCAAACTAAGCTTCATCAGTGAGGGAGAAATAAAATATTTTACAGACAAGCAAATGCTGAGAGATTTTGTCACCACCAGGCCTGCCCTAAAACAGCTCCTGAAGGAAGCACTAAACATGGAAAGGAACAACCGGTACCAGCCACTGCAAAATCATGCCAAAATGTAAAGACCATCGAGACTAGGAAGAAACTGCATCAACTAACGAGCAAAATAACCAGCTAACATCATCATGACAGGATCAAATTCACACATAACAATATTAACTTTAAATGTAAATGGACTAAATGCTCCAATTAAAAGACACAGACTGGCAAATTGGATAAAGAGTCAAGACCCATCAGTGTGCTGTATTCAGGAAACCCATCTCACGTGCAGAGACACACATAGACTCAAAATAAAAGGATGGAGGAAGATCTATCAAGCAAATGGAAAACAAAAAAAGTAGGGGTTGCAATCCTAGTCTCTGATAAAACAGACTTTAAACCAATAAAGATCAAAAGAGACAAAGAAGGCCATTACATAATGGTAAAGGGATCAATTCAACAAGAAGAGCTAACTATCCTAAATATATATGCACCCAATACAGGAGCACCCAGATTCATAAAGCAACTCCTGAGTGACCTACAAAGAGACTTAGACTCCCACACATTAATAATGGGAGACTTTAACACCCCACTGTCAACATTAGACAGCTCAACAAGACAGAAAGTCAACAAGGATACCCAGGAATTGAACTCAGCTCTGCACCAAGCAGACCTAATAGACATCTACAGAACTCTCCACCCCAAATCAACAGAATATACATTTTTTTTCAGCACCACACCACACCTATTCCAAAATTGACCACATACTTGGAAGTAAAGCTCTCCTCAGCAAATGTAAAAGAACAGAAATTATAACAAACTATCTCTCAGACCACAGTGCAATCAAACTAGAACTCAGGATTAACAATCTCACTCAAAACCACTCAACTACATGGAAACTGAACAACCTGCTCCTGAATGACTACTGGGTACATAACAAAATGAAGCCAGAAATAAAGATGTTCTTTGAAACCAAGGAGAACAAAGACACAACATACCAGAATCTCTGGGACGCATTCAAAGCAGTGTGTAGAGGGAAATTTACAGCACTAAATGCCCACAAGAGAAAGCAGGAAAGATCCAAAATTGACACCCTAACATCACAATTAAAAGAACTAGAAAAGCAAGAGCAAACACATTCAAAAGCTAGCAGAAGGCAAGAAATAACTAAAATCAGAGCAGAACTGAAGGAAAGAGAGACACAAAAAACCCTTCAAAAAATTAATGAATCCAGGAGCTGGTTTTTTGAAAGGATCAACAAAATAGATAGACCACTAGCAAGAATAATAAAGAAAAAAAGAGAGAAGAATCAAATAGATGCAATAAAAAAATAATAAAGGGGATATCACCACCGATCCCACAGAAATACAAACTACCATCAGAGAATAATACAAACACCTCTACGCAAATAAACTAGAAAATCTAGAAGAAATGGATAAATTCCTCAACACATACACTCTCCCAAGACTAAACCAGGAAGAAGTTGAATCTCTGAATAGACCAATAACAGGATCTGAAATTGTGGCAATAATCAATAGCTTACCAACCAAAAAGAGTCCAGGACCAGATGGATTCACAGCCGAATTCTACCAGAGGTGCAAGGAGGAACTGGTACCATTCCTTCTGAAACTATTCCAATCAATAGAAAAAGAGGGAATCCTCCCTAACTCATTTTATGAGGCCAGCATGATTCTGATACCAAAGCCTGGCAGAGACACAACCAAAAAAGAGAATTTTAGACCAATATCCTTGATGAACATTGGTGCAAAAATCCTCAATAAAATACTTGCAAAAAAAATCCAGCAGCACATCAAAAAGCTTATCCACCATGATCAAGTGGGCTTCATTCCTGGGATGCAAGGCTGGTTCAATATATACAAATCAATAAATGCGATCCAGCATATAAACAGAGCCAAAGACAAAAACCACATGATTATCTCAATAGATGCAGAAAAGGCCTTTGACAAAATTCAACAACCCTTCATGCTAAAAACTCTCAATAAATTAGGTATTGATGGGATGTATCTCAAAATAATAAGAGCTATTTATGACAAACCCACAGCCAATATCATACTGAATGGGCAAAAACTGGAAGCATTCCCTTTGAAGACTGGCACAAGACAGGGATGCCCTCTCTCACCACTCCTATTCAACATAGTGTTGGAAGTTCTCGCCAGGGCAATTAGGCAGAAGAAGGAAATAAAGGGTATTCAATTAGGAAAAGAGGAAGTCAAATTGTCCCTGTTTGCAGATGACACGATTGTATATCTAGCAAACCCCATTGTCTCAGCCCAAAATCTCCTTAAGCTGATAAGCAACTTCAGCAAAGTCTCAGGATACAAAATCAATGTACAAAAATCACAAGCATTCCTATACACCAACAACAGACAAACAGAGAGCCAAATCATGAGTGAACTCCCATTCACAATTGCTTCAAAGAGAATAAAATACCTAGGAATCCAACTTACAAGGGATGTGAAGGACCTCTTCAAGGAGAACTACAAACCACTGCTCAATGAAATAAAAGAGGATACAAACAAATGGAAGAACATTCCATGCTCTTGGGTAGGAAGAATCAATATCGTGAAAATGGCCATACTGCCCAAGGTAATTTACAGATTCAATGCCATCCCCATCAAGCTACCAATGACTTTCTTCACAGAATTGGAAAAAACTACTTTAAAGTTCATATGGAACCAAAAAAGAGCCCGCATTGCCAAGGCAATCATAAGCCAAAAGAACAAAGCTGGAGGCATCACACTACCTGACTTCAAACTATACTACAAGGCTACAGTAACCAAAACAGCATGGTACTGGTACCAAAACAGAGATATAGATCAATGGAACATAACAGAGCCCTCAGAAATAATGCCGCATATCTACAACTATCTGATCTTTGACAAACCTGAGAAAAACAAGCAATGGGGAAAGGATTCCCTATTTAATAAATGATGCTGGCAAAACTGGCTAGCCATATGTAGAAAGCTGAAACTGGATTCCTTCCTTACACCTTATACAAAAATCAATTCAAGATGGATTAAAGACTTAAACGTTAGACCTAAAACCATAAAAACCCTAGAAGAAAACCTAGGCAATACCATTCAGGACATAGGCATGGGCAAGGACTTCATGTCTAAAACACCAAAAGCAATGGCAACAAAAGCCAAAATTGACAAATGGGATCTAATTAAACTAAACAGCTTCTGTACAGCAAAAGAAACTACCATCAGAGTGAACAGGCAACCTACAAAATGGGAGAAAATTTTTGCAACCTACTCATCTGACAAAGGGCTAATATCCAGAATCTACAATGAACTCAAACCAATTTACAAGAAAAAAACAAACAACCCCATCAAAAAGTGGGCAAAGGACACAAACAGACACTTCTCAAAAGAAGACATTTATGCAGCCAAAAAACACATGAAAAAATGCTCATCATCACTGGCCATCAGAGAAATGCAAATCAAAACCACAATGAGATACCATCTCACACCAGTTAGAATGGCAATCATTAAAAAGTCAGGAAACAACAGGTGCTGGAGAGGATGTGGAGAAATAGGAACACTTTTACACTGTTGGTGGGACTGTCAACTAGTTCAACCATTGTGGAAGTCAGTGTGGCGATTCCTCAGGGATCTAGAACTAGAAATACCATTTGACCCAGCCATCCCATTACTGGGTATATACCCAAAGGACTGTAAATCATGCTGCTATAAAGACACATGCACACGTATGTTTATTGCGGCACTATTCACAATAGCAAAGACTTGGAACCAACGCAAATGTCCAACAATGATAAACTGGATTAAGAAAATGTGGCACATATACACCATGGAATACTATGCAGCCATAAAAAATGATGAGTTCATGTCCTTTGTAGGGACATGGATGAAACTGGAAATCATCATTCTCAGTAAACTATCGCAAGAACAAAAAACCAAACACCGCATATTCTCACTCATAGGTGGGAATTGAACAATGAGATCACATGGACACAGGAAGGGGAACATCACACTCTGGGGACTGTTGTGGGGTGGGGGGAGGGGGGAGGGATAGCATTGGGAGATATACCTAATGCTAGATGACCAGTTAGTGGGTGCAGTGCACCAGCGTGGCACATGTATACATATGTAAATAACCTGCACAATGTGCACATGTACCCTAAAACTTAAAGTATAATAATAAAAGAAAAAATATATATATAACATAAAAAATAATAAATAAATAAATAAATTTTTAAAAATTAAAAAAATAGATTAAAAATAAATTCATGAAGGGAAAGAAAATATTCACACATTATGTATTTGGTAAGTAATTAATATCCGGGCTATATAAAGACCTCAGCAACAACAACAAAACAATCAAATTTAAACATGAGCAAAGGTTTTAAAATACACATTTCTCTAAAGAAGATATGCAAATGACCAGTAAGCACAGGATAAGGTGCTCAGCATCACTAATCATGAGAAAAAAGTAAATCCAAACCACAATGCAATACCAACTGACACATGTAAGCATAGCTGCCATCAAAAAAACCCCACCAGCAAAGCAAAACAACAAAGCCCCAGAGAACAGCAAATGCTGGATGTGGAGAAGTCAGGACTCCTGCACACTGCTGGTGGGAAAGTAAGATGGCACAGCCACTGTGGAAAACAGTAATCACCATATGATCCAGTAATCCCACATCTGGGTATATACCCCAAAAAACTGAAAGTGGGAATTTGTACACCCATGTTTATAGCAGCATTCACAAGAGCCAAAGGGTAGAAAAAGCCCAAATCTCCATCTACAGATGAATGGATAAGCAAATATGATTGATACACACAATATTATTCAGCCTTAAAAAGAAAAGAAATTCTAATACATGCTACAACATAAACCTTGAAAACATTAAAACAAAAAAATGCAAATACTCCATGCTTTCCACTTTTATAGTGTACCTAGAGCAGTTAAATTCATAGACACAGAAAGTAGGATGTGGTTTCCAGGGGATGGGGGGAAGGGAAAGGGGAGCTATTGTTCCGTGGATACAGAGTTTCACTTTGGGATGATAACACAGGTTTGGAATGGATACTGGTGATAGTTGCACAACAATGTATTTCTACTTAATGTACTTAAATTTTCTCTTATACATATTTCACCACAGAAAAAAAATTAGCAAATATTTAAAAATCTACATGTTTCTTTGAACTGTTTCTTTACGTCCCTTGTCCATTTTTCAATTTGGCTGTTGGTCTTTTAATAATTTAGGATAGCTATATAGCTATATATATACATATATATTACACAAATTAGCTTTTTGTCTGTCATGTATGTTGCAGATCTGTTTCCCCAGTCTGTTGACTTTTGACTTTGATGCATTTTTCTTGCCTATAAAGTTTTAATTTTTATGGAGTCAAATGCATCAGTCTTCTATTCAAAGACTTATTTATGGGTTTGGTGTTTCAGTTTAGGATGAAAAAGAAGTTGTAGATATGGATAAAGGAGATGGTTGTACAACACATTATATTGGACCACTCAACTGTACGTTTAAACATGGTTAAAATGGTAAGTTTTATGTTGTATATATTTTACCACCAAAAAAGGGCCAGGCTTAGATATTTATATGTTAGGGGTTTGGAGTACCTCTAACATTTATTCCCCTACAGGGCTCTAATTTATAAAACTCCCACACAAGAAAAGTAGATACTGACTTCACAAATCTCCTTACAAGTCCCACAGCAAGGGCTGTCTGGGAAAGCAGAGGTGGAAAAAGTCACATAAACTTGAGATCAGTGTGAGACCTCCCATCCCCCACTCTGGAATCAGATGGAGGAAGGCAGGCATGCAGGCTGAGCTGGAGAGATGAGCTGGGGTGGGCAGAACTGTCTTCCCATGAGCCTAGACCTTAAGTGCTCCCACATGATCTCAGGCATGTATCAAACCAAGAAAGCGGCTAGGAGGGCAACACATCTACCTGTATACAGGGAGCTATGAAATACGTGAGCTGCGCAAGTGATGCACAAGGAAACGGAAGCAGTATGACCTTTACACAGTGACCTGGCTCAAATAATTTCAGGCTGTCATTAACCAGGCGAGCTCCACTTTCTCTCTGAGGTAGGTAAAATTGAGGGGGTAAAGTGGGAGTTGGGGAAAATGGAAAAGAAAGCCTGGTAGTATTTCTTCTAACTCTGTCATAAATAAAAAGTAAAACATAGATGCCATTTCTCAGGGCCCAAATGTTAGGTGAAAAAATGTTTGTCATCTCAGTCATGTGATGTGGACTTCAGCAGAGCAGTACACACATGGTCATTTATCCTTTCCCTCTGCATGTTGTGTGCTTTTTCAGTTTATAATGTACCTGATCCACTTGTCTCATCACACTAGCTGCAAACAAGGCCACTGAATGTCACAGCAGGTGGCCGGCATGTCTGTGAAGGGCAGAAACTGGGGCAGCCAAACAGCTGGCAGAGGCCAGCTAGGAAGTACCTGATGCCCACTCCATAGAGGACTCCACACTTAAAAGACAAGATCAGCAAGTGTCAGGCTGCCTCACTAGTTATCCCCCCAAATAAAAAAATAAAAGTAACCCCTCCAGGGAACGTGTATGTGTACACACAAAAGTACATGCACACAGCTATATGCAAATGGGAAAGGCTTGGAAGGAACCAAATCCACCTCTGAACACTAGTTACTTGTGGGGAAGGGGCAGGTGAAGCCAACTGTCAGCATTACTCACCTTTTCAACTGATGAGCTTACATCAATTTTGGCAATTTCTCATAAAAAGGCAATTTTCACTCCTTGGGTGATCACCCAGGTCCTGCAGAACTGAGCCACCAACAACCACCTGCACCACTTCCCATGAGGCCAAATAATGGCTTCCCTCAAAGCTCAGCCCTCCCACCCACCTCCCAGTCCTCTCCCATGCAGGGGGCTGCCGGCCTCCTGGGGTACAGGGGTCCAGGCCAAACCCAATCCACGCATGGTTGGTGAAACCAGCACGTATCCAAGGGCCTTTCCCCCACCTGGGCCATGTGCCCACTGCATAGATAGGCCTGTGCTTGCTCCCCTAGGACAGAGACTCCCTTTTCTTCCATTGGAATGAGGAGTGGGGAGATTTGATGGTGTCCTGTACAGGTTGGGTGTTAATCTGATGTGGTGCTCTTGGAGAAGCTTGCTTGAGTTCGGCGCTTTCTCAGCACGTGGTGTGTGCTGCCCCTTCAAGCTGCAGGAGTCCCAGAAGGTAAGTGCTGCTGCAACCCCCATTTACTGGTGAACAGAGGTCAGGTGATCTGCAGCCAACCAAGCAGCTGCTAAGTGGCCAACAGGCTGGATCTGCATCTAACTTGCAGAGGCCCTGCCTGGATGCTGGGGCTGTCCTGAGACTCCCTCCTCCTCCTCCTCTTCCCTCCACAGCTCTCCTGGCTTCTATCCAAAGCTGTGTTCCAGGTGGGGAACACCTATGGATGCACCAGGGTGCAACTACTCAGAGTCCAGTGTGCAGAAGGGCCCCTGCTCTATGCTGTTTCCGTATCCAAGCCCAAGCTCTTCTAGAGCTTCAGCAAATCCAAGCCTCCCTGAATTCCCTGCAAGACCAAACTGAGCCCTACAACCCCCACCACTCTGGTTAGCTGCCAGTCCCAGCCCCTGTTCCCTCCTGGGCCCCTGTCTGTACAGTTCTGAAGTCCTACAAGAATGTTGAGATCCTAAGCCGACTCTCACCCAAAGAGGTAAACAACCAGGGGCCTCCAGGTTGAGAGAATATACCCAGACAGGTTCTGCTGCCTGTAGGCTTGATGTCTTTCCCCTACAACACGCCTTGCTTGCCAGGCTGGAAGAGGGGCTCCAGAAACTTGGGAAACCTGGGCCTGTAGCTGGCATGTGGAAAAGAGGCCTGGAAAAGCACCATTCCTGTCCATGAAGCCCCCAGATGGAACCAGGTAATTGGGAAATACATGGGCACCAAGCCTGAACCCCCCTCAGACCCAGGTGGGAACTGCAGTGGTGACTTGCCCCCTCTGCCAGTCTGGCTGTACCACTACAGGAGGGAGGAACATCTAGCCCCACACGTGAGTGGAGACACCAGGTGTGGGCAGGTTCCAGTGGTTGCTGCAGCTGAACCTTCCTAACCAGGTCCATGCGAGACCATCTCAGATGGGTGTGCACCTGGGTTGGGCAAGGACACCCCTCAGACAGTGAGAGCCACTGAGGAGGGCTGTCACAGAGGCCCCTTTTCCTGCTCTTAGAACAGGTTGGGCGAGTATGGGGGAGTGTGGGGGAGTATGGGGGAGTATGGGGGACCTCTCCCACCTCCCAGCTGCTTCCAGGAGCCACTTCTTTCGAGATGAGACTCTCCTGCCTGCCTGTTCCCATTTGGCTGCAATAGACCATTGACAACATTCAGAGAACAAGAAGGGGCCTCACCTGTTTTCCCTGACACGTAGGAGGCAGATGGGCATTCCCAGGGGACCTGGGGTAGAGCCTGTTCATCTGCCCACCCCCAAGGCTATGCTGGCTTCATCTTATCTGTGCGATAGGGCTGGGGGTGGGGGTGGGAATTACCAGGAGACCATCACACAGGCCGTGGACAAGTTCTACAAGAGCCAGGGAGAACACTGTCCGTGCATGCGTCCCAGCACCCAGCTCACACATCTCTCATTTGACAGCTTCCCCAAAGCAGGCTTTGCAGTCCAGGCTCCCCAAGAAGCCAGGGGAGGAGACTCTGCCAGGCTGAAGGGTCTGTCCCCAAAGGTGCCACCCTCACCAGGCTCATCCTGACAATCTTGGATTATTTTTGCCCTGAAGTTTTGGAGTGGGGGACAGGGAGAGAGCAGACAGTACACATTAGCCACCTTTCCAGAGAGCATCAGCCCTCCAGACTGGGGCAGGTCAGACCTCCACTCAGGCATTTTTCTCACTGGTTGCCAGTTGGGGGAAGCAGTATTTGTGAGCACCTGCCTGTCTCCCCAGCTCCTGTTCAGAAACCCCATCTGTGCCTTTGGAGGGACTGCCCTGCGCACACAGGCCCAGCAACCACCATCTACGGCCCCCAGGACCTAATCCCCTTCTACTTGGGATTCAGTGCATGTTAGCAGACACTGGGCTTGATTCCTGCCTAGTCCCTGCCAGACATCCCATGCCCACCTCATTAAGAGAATGAGGCCACACAAACACACCCAGGCCATCGTGATGATGGAGTGCCTGGGGTCCCACTTGCCCACCCTTCATTGCTGGTTCAGAGCCAGCTCTGACCACATTCCTACCCTGAGATGGGACTCTGGGGACATTGTCCACCAGGGTCACTGACCCCTTTTAACGTTCCAGAAACATGGCCAGCTGGTCCCCTAGAAGTTTGGTATATGGGATAAGCCAAGGCTTGCCTTCAGCAACAGGTTTTCCACCACGTCACTGCCCAAGGCCCAGGGCATCCCCAAGTTCATGTGAAGCCTGCCTGCCATGTCCACAGCCCATACCGACCCCTCCTGGAGCCACTGGAATGCTTGTTCCTGGGCATGTGATGAACCCAGACAGCTTCCGCCTTGCAGGACAACTATGCGCATCTGGCAGCAGTAGCCAGAGGGCCCATAGAAAGAAGATGGAGGCAAAACCAGATGCTGTGAGAATACTTTATTAGTCAAAACCGCATACTATAAAAATGCTTTAAAACGCAGCAGGAGATGTGAAGACACAAATTAACAAGCGTATAGTGACACATGGCTGTCAGAACACAGTAAAGAATCCACACTGCTTCCCCCCTTTACCTAGAAAAGGAGAGTTCTAGGCCACCTCCTCCTCGGCATACTCCTCATCCTCCTCCTCCTCGGCCGTGGCATCCTGATATTGCTGATATTCAGACACCAGGTCGTTCATGTTGCTCTCGGCCTCGGTGAATTCCATCTCATCCATGCCCTCGCCCGTGTACCAGTGGAGGAAGGCCTTGCGCCTGAACATTGCTGTAAACTGCTCTGAGACACGCTTGAAGAGTTCCTGGATGGCCGTATTATTCCCAATGAAGGTGGCTGACATTTTTAGCCCCCGGGGTGGGATGTCACAGACGGCTGTTTTTACGTTGTTGGGGAGCCAGTCAGCAAAGTAACTGCTGTTCTTATCTTGAATGTTGAACATTTGTTCATCCACCTCCCTCATGGGCATGCGACCCCTGAAAATGGCAGCCGCCGTTAGGTAGCGGCCGTGACGGGGGTCACAGGCAGCCATCATGTTCTTAGCATCAAACATCTGCTGGGTAAGCTCAGCCACAGTCAAGGCCCGGTACTGCTGGCTGCCCCGGCTGGTCAGTGGGGCAAAGCCGGGCATGAAGAAATGCAGCCGGGGAAACGGGACCATGTTCACGGCCAGCTTCCGCAGGTCAGCATTCAGCTGGCCCGGGAAGCGCAGGCACGTGGTGACCCCACTCATGGTAGCAGACACCAGGTGGTTCAGGTCACCATAGGTGGGTGTGGGCAGTTTTAGGGTCTTGGAACATATGTCATACAGAGCTTCGTTATCTATGCAAAAGGTCTCATCTGCGTTTTCTATGAGCTGGTGGACTGAGAGGGTGGCGTTGTAGGGCTCCACCACGGTGTCCGACACCTTGGGCGAGGGCAGGATGCTGAATGTGTTTATGATCCTGTCTGGGTACTCCTCCCGGATCTTACTGAGCAGAAGGGTACCCATCCCAGACCCAGTCCCCCCACCCAGGGAGTGGGTCAGCTGGAAACCCTGCAGGCAGTCACAGCTCTCAGCCTCCTTTCTGACAACGTCCATCACTGACTCCATCAGCTCCGCGCCTTCGGTGTAGTGTCCCTTGGCCCAGTTGTTTCCGGCCCCACACTGACCTGTAAGACAGCACAGCCGGTCACTCGACGGCCAGGTATACGGTCATCAGTGGTCACCACCATAATGCAGAAAGAGCCAAGCGTCACACGTGAGGTGAGAGCACCGTTCGCCCTGCAGGTGGAGCAGATGAAACCCCCTCCCCCAGAGTTACAGGACAGCAGCTTCCCCTGTTAGGAATTAAGACAGGAGTCAAACCTGAGACGGGTTCACAGACCTCGCTGCAGGTGGCTCCTGCCCATTCTCAGGAAAGGCAGTAGCCACGGCCCCAGCTCAGGTTCTTGCAGGGAGTTTACATCAGTAACTCCTCACCTTGAGGAGACACCAGGGCCTTCCTCCCGAAGCCCATTTAGGAGAGGCAGATTGAGCGACTCGACTCGGAGGATAGGAGGGTGTTCAGGGGCCCTAGCTCCACAGTTCCCAGAGGATGACCTTAGCACACTCCTGGATTTTGAGCTGCCCTGGCTAAGGAGCCGCACCCCAGTCCTCGCCCGCAGCTCACCGAAGATGAAGTTGTCTGGCCTGAAGACCTGCCCGAAGGGCCCCGAGCGCACAGAGTCCATGGTGCCCGGCTCCAGATCCACGAGCACAGCGCGGGGCACGTACCTGCCACCTGCGTGGGGCGGGAGGGCATGAGCGAGGGGAGGGCCGCGTTCCCAGGAGGGCGGTGGGGGAAGGACGGGGGTCTCACCGCTGGCCTCGTTGTAGTACACGTTGATGCGCTCCAGCTGCAGGTGGCTGTCCCCGTGGTAGGTGCCAGCGGAGTCGATGGCATGTTCATCAGAGATCACCTCCCAGAACTGCAAGAGACGGGAGGAGACAGACAGGCCGGGGCTGAGTCAGGGAGGCGCCCCAGCCGCTCTCCCACCCCCACCCTCATCCGCACCCCCATCCCTAGGCCGCCCTGTCCCTGGGGTCCACCCCGGCCGCCTCGCCAGCCACCCGGTTCCACCGTCCCCGGCAGGGAGCCCAGGGGCCGCAATGCATGGGCACCGCCCCCGCCACTGCCAACACCTTCCCCGGCCACCCGGCAGGCCCGGGCTAGGCCCTCAGAGCCCCGGCTGCCAACCTTGGCGCCGATCTGATTCCCGCACTGCCCGATCTGCGTGAGCACGATCTCCCTCATGGCCAAGGCGGGATTAGGACGGCAGGAGAAACGTGAGAAGGAGGAGCAGACGCGCAGCGACCCAGCCCGCCCTCCGCCAACGTTTAAATAGCCCCGCGCCCACCTCCCTCCGCCTCGGATTCGGCTCCCAGAATAAGCAACAGCTTTACTTCCACACAGGTGCACCCACCTGTGGATCCCCTGGCGCTGAACATCTGTTGGAAAGCTCAGGTGTCCTTGCGTGGTCCTTTCCACGTTGGGGAAAGCTGCTCGCTGGAGAACTTCCTCCCGCGTCTTTAGTAAGACTAAATCCCTAGCTGAGCTGAAACTGAATTTTCCTCCCATGTGGGAGGGGAAGACTCTTGTTTCCATATGCACGGAGTGCCTTTGCACCTGTCCTAGATTGATGACATATTTTTGTAATTGATGAGTCTTTTCATCTATTAGGAGATCTGTGGTTAGGAAAGGCCTTCCACATGTGAACTCAACAGGACTCAATTATACGTTTTACTTTGGAGCAGTTCTAACCCACAATAAGCTATGGGTGTTAGAGACAGTCAGGCCTCTGATTTAGCTGGAGTCTTCTTTAGAGTAGGGTTAGCCCTTTCACCTTTCCAGAGGACTGTGGTCTCCAGCAGAGTGAAGGTCATATTGGATTCTTAAAGCTGAGGACAGGTTTTGGGATACGCCTGCTGTGAAAGATGGGCCATTGTCACTTTGCAGGCTTTTGGATTACCCAAACTGAGGAGTTATTTCTTCTGGTAAACATTTTTCAGATGGGGTGGGGAATGCCTCGATCTAACCAGTGAAGGTGTCAGTAAGCATTAGCAAATATTTGAATCTCCTGCAGAAAGGCTTCCGGGTAAATTAGAGTGGCCAGTTCTCACCTGGATAGGTTCCTCAATTTTGGACAGGTTTAACTGGAGAAGGAGAAAATTGCTGGCCATTTGAGTCATGTCAGGCACAAAGCTCACAGGGCTGAGTCACCTGTTTTAGTGTCTTGAAAAGATTTACCCCTATAAACAAATGAGACATTAACAGAAACAAAGAATCCCTTCTAGGGTGAAAAGAATCATGAAAGTGCTGAGTTATACTCCTGTGATTGGTACTTGGCATTAGTAATTTATTACCATCATTCAGCCCGAGGGGCCCTGGACTGAAATGCAATCCCTGGCCCATTTTCGTTCTTCTTCAGGGTATTCTGGCCCAGTTCTATGTATGCTGACCAGCACGCCCACAAGCTTCATTGGCCCTTTCAGTGCAGGGGCCTTGGCTGTGGCATCTACAAGGGCATTTCCTTTTACATGGTCAGTCTCTCTTTTGATGTCCTCTGCAATTAATTATACTCACTTTTTGGCAGCAAAGCAGCACTCTAACAAGCTCAAAATCTGAACGATGTTGTATGGAAAAGCCCTTGGGGGTCAGGAGTCCCCACCCATTCCAAATTGCAGCATAAGCATGAAGCACTAAAAAATCATACTTGGAATCAGTGTAAATGTTAACTTTTAAATTCTTTCCCAACTGCAGGGGCCTAGTTAGTTCAATTAACTCAGCTTTTTGAGCTGCTGAGGTCGAAGCCAGCAAGGCTTGTGCCTTGATTGATTCTCTTGTGCTAATAATAGCATATTTAGCCCTCCTGTTTTCCTGATGCATAAAACAACTTGCATCTGTTAACCACTCTTCCTTGGGATGGTCCAGGGAATCATCTCTCTTATGTCTGGCCTGCTAGAATCAATTTGTTTCATAACCTGTGACATGCTTTGGCTGTGTCCCCAGTCAAATCTTATCTTGAATTGTAGCTCCCCTAATTCCCATATATTGTGGGAGGGACCCAGTGGGAGGTAATTGAATCAGGGGATGGGTCTTTCCCATGCTGTTCTCATGACAGTGAATAAGCCTCATGAGATCTGATGGTTTATTTATTTATTTATTTTTGAGACAGAGTCTTGCTCTGTTGCTCAGGCTGGAGTGCAACCTCTGACTGCTGGGTTCAAGCGATTCCTGTCTCAGCCTCCCGAGTGGCTGGGATTACAGGCGCCCACCACCATGCCTGTCTAATTTTTCTACTTTTAGTATAGACGAGGTTTCACCATGTCGGCCAGGCTGGCCTCAATCTCCTCACCTCAGGTCATCCACTGCCTTGGACTCCCAAAGTGCTGGGATTACAGCTGATGATTTTACAAAGGGGAGTTTCCCTACACAAGCTCTTTTGCCTGCTGCCATGTAGAAGATGTAACTTTGTTCCTCACCTGCCTTCTGCCATGAGTGTGAGGCCTCTCCGACCATGTGCAACTGTGAGTCAATTAAACCTCTTTTCTTTATAAATTACCCAGCCTCAGATATGTCTTTATTAGCAGCATAAGAACAGACTAATACAGCCTGTATGCCAGAAAGACTAGAAGCACCTGTGGACTCTGACAGCTAAGTAGCTGGGTTTATGGCTTGGCAGGCTTTAAGGGTTGTGTCTGGAGGGTCGGTCTAGCAATAAGTCCTGACACTTTCATAAATATTCTCCTATTATCCACTGCTGCCCTTTACCTTCTAGGACCACCTTCCCTTGGTGTGGGGTCAAAAACCTGTAGGTGCTGTTCTAATGTTAGTTTATTATCTTTGCCAACTAGAAAAGTGGTAGCAGCAATAGCTCTAAGACATCAAGGCTAAAAGTCAGAGGATCGCTAAGGAAAGTAAAAGCTAAACTGTTTGGGGCCTCTTTCCTGGGGCTGCCTCCAGGCTACTGCAAAACGGAGGCGGTGAGCAGAAAGGCAACAATATGCAGAGCACTCAGGTGAGGGACAAAGAGCACAAGGTGGACAGTCCAAAAAGAGAAAGTGGCAAACATCTTGTTTAGCCAAATCCATTCTTCTCAATGTTCCCCAGGGCCTCTAACCCTGTGGGCTTGGCCTCTAATCTGAGTATGACACCCCCAGGTCTCTACTTTGGGCTGAGTCTCTCACCCTAATATTATACCCTAGGGCCTCTCACTTAAGTAATAGTGGGTAATCATTCTTGCCAACCTGAATGGCTTCATGACCCTAAAACACAGCCCACTTGCCAGCTAAATGATTCTATGTGGATTGTTTTCCTTGGAGTGGGGGTCTTGTCTTGGTGTCCCTTCATGGTGTTGCTGAAAGATGTTGCTAGAAAAGAGGGTCCTGACACAGACCACAAAGTAGGATTCTTAGATCTTGTGCAGTAAAAAATTTGAGGTGAGTCAGAGAGCACAGTGAAAGAAGCAAGTTTATTAGAAATGACTCCATTACAGAGTTGGACATCCTCAGAAAACAAGAGCAGGAATGCATTGTCTTTTGTTAGTGTCTCTAACTATAAAGAGAAAGAGTTATAATTAAACTTGGAAGGTGCAGATGTACTCATTAAAGTCGGGGCTATTCGTTTTAACAATGACCATTAACCCGTTGACCTAAGCTAGCTCGTTAATATTATCTTTAACAAAAAATGCTGCACTCCTAGGACATTTATACATTTTTCAGGCTTGGTGGAAGATGTCTTGTATGGCCATAAATATTCTGCAATTGTAATCTGTGGCCAGTAAAAAAATGTGGCTATTTTCAGACCATAGGTATTAACCTTCTAGATGCCTTGTGAGTACCTAGCTACTCATATTAAGATAGAGAATTCTAGTCATGTGTATTAAACTAGAAGCTTGGTAACCACGAGTTCCTCTAACACAACAAGTATACTCCTCAAGGAGAAAATGTATTTCTCAGGAATTTTGTGCATTTTGTTTGATGGCATTTGGTATGTTTACCAAAATGGCAGAAAAGAGTGAAATTAGTACTCAAAGATTTCTCAGGATTGGACATAAAGTAAACAAAATGATTATAGTTAATATGCAAGTTGACACAGTTGATATGCAAAAGAAATTTTGTTTGAAACATGAGATTTTTATTTTTATTTATTATTATTATTTTGAGACAGAGTCTTGGTCTGTTGCCCAGGCTGGAGTGCAGTGCACCATCTTGCCTTACTGAAACGTCTGCCTCCCAGGTTCAAGTGATTCTCCTGCCTCAGCCTCCCAAGTAGCTGGGATTACAGGCATGAATCACCACACCCAGCTAATTTTTGTATCTTTAGTAGAAATGGGGTTTCACTCTGTTGGCCGGGCTGGTCTCAAACCCCTGACAACAAGTGATCTGCCCACCTTGGCCTCCCAAATTGCTGGGATTACAGGCATGAGCCACTGCTCCCAGCCACAATGAGGCTTTTAAATAATTCTGATTTCCTGCTGTTGAGCAGGGAGCTGAGCAAATTCAACAGATCATGAGCCTAAAGTAGAAGACTGAGGACAAACTCTAGAACACATGTGATTAAATTAATTACAATGGAAACCAAAACAAATTTAGTAAGGCCATACCTCTTAGTTTCAAGATGTTTCCCCTCATTTTGAAATGTGGTGTTATTCAGTGGAAAAGAAAAACAGTGTTTATCTCCAGAGTAAAGAACAGGGTTCCCTGCAGGGACTGACTGACTGAGAGCTATGGCTCAGGATTAAAAATTCTTCTTTTTTCCACTTATAAACTAAAAATTAATTTCTAAGCCCCTATTGACTAAATGGACACCTCTTCTTGGATAAGGACATTCCAAAGTTAACCTGAAAAGCTACTTCAAGCCATGGGTCACACCTGCCTCATTAGACTCTCCTCCTTTTGGTTTTAATTGTAATTTTTAATTAATTTTTGTGGGTACATAGTTGGTGTATATATTTATGGGGGTACATGACATACTTTGATACAGGCATGCAATCAGTAATACACAATAAAAAACAGGGTATCCATCCCCTCAAGCATTTATAGCTTGTTTTATAAACAATCCAATTATACTATTTTAGTTTTTATAAAATGTATAAATTATTTTTTTACCATAATCACCCTGTTCTGCTACCAAATACTGTCTTATTCATTCTTTCTAACAATTTTTTGTACCCATTTCACATCCCCACTAACCCCGTTCCCCCACTGCCCTTCCCAGCCTCTGGTAACCAACCTTATACTCTCTATCTCTATGACATCAATTGTTTTGAATTTTAGCGCCCACAAACGAGTGAGAACATGTGACATTTGTCTTTCTGTGCCTGACTTATTTCACTTAACATAAAAACTTTCAGTTCCATTTCTGTTACTGCAAATGACAGACTCTCATTCTTTCTTATAGCTGAATAGTACTCCATTGTGTATATGTACCACATTTTCTCTATCCAGTCATCTGTTGATGGACATTTAGGTTTCTTCCAAATCTTGGCTATTAGCAACATTTGTTTTTGACTGACTTCTGGATAAAAGCCACCTTAACTGAGGTGAAATGATATCTCATTTTGGGTTTGATTTGCATTTCTATGATGATCAGTAATGTGGAGCACCTTTTTATTTGCCTATTTGCCACTTGTATGTCTTATTTTCATAAATGTCCAATTAAATTTTTGTCCACTCTTTTATTATATTTTTTTCTATAGAATGTTTTGAACTCAATATATTGTAGTGTATTAGTCTGTTTCTGCACTGCTATAAAAAAACTGAGACTGGGTTATTTATCTATTTATGTATTGAGATGAAGTCTTGCTCTGTCACCCAGGCTGGAGTGCATTGGTATGATCTCGGTTCACTGCAACCTCCACCTCCTGGGTTCAAGCAATTCTCTGCCTCAGCCTCTTGAGTAGCTGGGATTACAGGCACCTGACATGATGCCCAGCTAAGTTTTGTATTTTTAGTAGAGACGGCGTTTCACCATCTTGGCCAGGCTGGTCTTGAACTCCTGACCTCGTGATCCACCCACCGCTGCCTCCCAAAGTGCTGGGATTACAAGCATAAGCCACTGCGCCTGGCGAGACTGGGTAATTTATAAAGGAAATAGATTTAACTGAGTCACAGTTCCACATGGCTGGGGAGGCCTCAGGAAACTTACAGTCATGGCGGACGAGGAAGCAGGCACCTCTTCCATGACAGCAGGCGAGAGAGCATATATGTGAAGCAAAGGGGGAAGAGCCCCTTATAAAAACATCAGATCTCATGAGAACTCACTCATTGTCAGAAGAACAACCTGGAGGGAACCAACCCCATGATCCAATCACCTTCTACCAGGTCTCTCCCTCAACACCTGGGGATTACAATTCAATATGAGATTTGGGTGGGGACACAAAGGCTAACCATATCACATCGCTATTAATTGCTTTTCAGATAGGTAATTCACAAATATTTTCTCCCATTCTGTGGGTTTTCTCTTCACTTTGTTTCCTTCACTTTAAAAAAGCTTTCTGACCTGCTGTAATTCCATTTGTCCATGTTTGCTTTGGTTGTCTGTGCTTATGGGGCATTATTTAAGAAATTTTTGCTCAAACCATGCCCTAAAGGGTTTCCCCAGTGTTTTCTTGTAAAATTTTGATAGTTTGAGGTGTTAGGTTTAAGTTTTTAATTTATTTTAATTTGATTTTTGTATGTGGCAAGAAATAGGGTTCCAGTTTCACTCTTCTGCCTATGGCTTGCCAGTTTTCCCAGCCCTATTTATTACAGAAACTGTCTTATTTTTTGTTGTATGTTATCAACACTTTTGTTCAAAATAAGTTTAGTTTAGCTGTATGAGTTTGTTTCTAAGTTCTCTATTTCATTCCATTTGTCTTTATGTCTTTTTATTCTAGTGTCATGCTGTTTTAATTACTATAGCTTGATAGTATAATTTAAAACCAGGTAATGGGATTCCTCCAGTTTTGGTTTATATACTCAGAATAGCTTTGACTATTATGGTGTTTTGTGGTTCCATATATATTTCAGATTTTTTTTCTATTTCTGTGAGGAATGTCATTGTTATTTTGATACAGATGGCATGAAAAGTACAGATTGCTTTGGATCGCATGGACATTTTTTAAAATACTGATTCTTCCAATCTGTGAACATAGATATAACTTTCCATTTTTTTGTCTTCTCTTTCTTTTATCAGTGTTTTACGTTTTTAATTGTTGAAAACTTTTATTTCTTTGGTAAATTCCCACACATTTTGTTTTATTTGTGGCTATTGCAAATAGGATTACTTTTTTGAATTCTTTTCCAGTTTGTTGACTGTTGGCATATAGAAATCCTACTGATTTGTACATGTTGATTTTGTATTATGCAAATTTACTCAAGTTATTACTTCTAATAGTTTTTTGATGGATATATTAGGCCATTCTCACATTGCTGTAAAAATAATCGGTGACTAGTTAATTTATAAAGGAAATAGGTTTCATTGGCTCATGGTTCTACAGGCTGTACAGAAAGCACAGCACTGGCTTCTGCTTCTGGTGAAGCCTCTGACAACTGACAATCAAGGTGAAAAATAAATCCGGTGCTTGCACATCACGTGGTAAGTGCAAGGGCAGGGGGGAAGTGCTACGCACTTGTAGATAACCAGGTCTCATGAAAACTTAACTATTGTGAGAATGGCTCCAAAGGAAATGATGCCAAACTGTTCATGGAAATCCTGCCCTCATGATTCAATCACCTCCCCACTAGGCCCACTTCCAACATTGAGGATTACATTTCAATGTAAGATTTTGGTGGGAACACACACCTAAACTATATCATTTTGCCCCTGGCCATTCCAAATCTCATATCCTTCTCATATTTCAAAATACAATCATGACATCCCAATAATCCCTGAAGTCTTAACTCATTTCAGCCTTAACTCAAAAGTCAAAAGTCTCATCTAAGACAAAGCTAGTTTATTCCTCCTATAAGCCTGTAAAATAAAAACCAAATTAAGTACTTCCAAGATAAAAATGGGGCATAGGCATTGGGTAAATATTCCTATTCTAAAAGGAAGAAATCAGCCAAAAGAAAGAGGCCACAGGACCCATGCAAGTCTGAAACCCAGAAGGGGAGTTATTGAATTTTAAGGCTCTAAAATAATTATTTTTGACTCTATGTCCCATTTCCAGGGCACACTAATGCCTTGGGACGTTTAGACCTTGTGGCTTTGCATGGTTCAGCCCCCACAGCTGCTCTCATGGGCTGGTATTGTGTGCCTCTGGCTGGTTTTGTGTGCTTCTGGCTTTTCCAGGTGCAAAGTGCAAGCTGTAGCTAGATCTACCATTCTGGGGTCTGGAGGACAGTGATCCTCTCCTCACAGGTCTACTAGGCCATGCCCCAGTAGGCAGCCCACATGGGGACTGTAACTCTACATTTCTTCTCTGCATTGTTTTAGTAGAGGTTCTTCATAAGGGCTCCACCCCTGCAGCATGCTTCTGCCTGCACACCCTGGCTTTTTTATACATTATTTGAAGTAAAGGTGGAGGCTCCCAAGTCTCAACTCTTGCATTTTGTACACTCACAGGCCTAACACCATATGAAAGCTACAAAGGCTTATGGCTTGCACCCTCTGAAGCAGTGACTGGAGTTGTAACTGGGCCAATTTGTGCTACACCTGGAGCTGAAGCAGTGGCCAGGATGCAGGGAGCCATGTTCTAAGGCTACCCAAGGCAGCAGTTCCTGGGCCTGATCCCAGAAACTATTCTCTTCTTTTAGGCCTCAGGGTCTGTGATGGGGGGCTGCCTTTTAGATTTCTAAAATGCCTTCAATTCCTCTTTCCCATTGTCTTGGCTATCAACACTTGCTTTTTTTTTAAGTTATACAAATATCTCTAACAAGTGATTGCTCCACAGCCTGCTCAAGTTCCTCTCTTGTAAAAGCTTTTTATTTTTCTGCCACATGACTAGGCTGCAAAGTTTTTAAGCTTTTACCCTATGCTTCCCTTGCAAGTAAAATAAATTACAACTTACTTTTTTTTGCTCCAACATGTGAGCATAGGTTGTTAGAAGCAGCCAGGCCACATCTTGAACGCTTTGGTGCTTAGACATTTTTCCAACAGAAACCCTAAATCATCACTTTCAAATTCAAACTTTTATATATCCCTAGGGCATGACAAAAATTCAGCCAACCACTTTGCTAAGACAACATGAATGACCTTTGCTTCGGTCCTAATTTTCTAATTTTCATCTGAGACCTCCTCAGCTCAGCCTTCACTGTCCAGATCACTATCAGCATTTTGGTCACAGCCATTCAAAATTAAGAAAATCTCAACTTTCCCTCATTTTTCTGTCTTCTTCTGAGTGCTACAAACTCTTCCAACCTCTGCCTGTTTACCCAATTACAAAGCTGATTCCACATTTTCAGGTATTCTTATAACAATTTTCCACTCCTTTGTGCCAATTTTCTGTATTAAGCTTTTTCCCCATCACTATAAATACCTGAGACTGGGTAATTTATTTTTTAAAAAGGAGGTTTAAGTGGCTCATGATTCTACAGGCTGTAGAGAAGACACAGCACTGGCATGCACTTCTGGGAAGGCCTCTGGAAGTTTACAGTCATGGCAAAAGTTGAAGCAGAATCTTGCACATCACAGGGCAAAAAGCAGGAGCAGAAAACAGAGGGGCGAGTTACACACTTTTAAATAACCAGGTCTTATGGGAACTCACTCACTATCATGAAGATAGTACCAAGTGGGATGGTGCTAAGCCATTTATGAGTAATCCACCCCAATGGTTAAATCACCTGGCCCACCTCCAACATGGAGAATTACATTTAAATATGAGATTTGGGAGGGGACGCACATTCAAACCCTATCAGAGGAGTCTTTATGTTTTTCCAAATATAAGATTATATCACTGGCAAAAACAATAATTTGACTTCTTTTCCAACTGGGGTGCCTTTTATTATTGCTTTCTCTTGTCTGATTGCTCCAGACAGGACTTTCAGAATTATGTTGAATAACAGTGGTAAAAGTGGATATTCTTGTCATCTTCCAGAGTTTAGAGGAAAGGCTTTTAGTTTTTCCCCACTTGGTATGATACTAGCTGTGGGTCTGTCATATATGACTTTTATTATGTTCAGATATGTTCATTCCATACCCAGTTTTCAAAGGGTTTATTATTAAAGAATATTAAATTTTATCAAATACTTTTTTAGCATAATGGAAATGATTACATGGATTTTGTCCTTCTTTTTTTTGAGATGAAGTCTTCCTCTGTCACCCAGGCTGGAGTGCAATGGCATGGTCTCAGCTCACTGCAACCTCTGCCTCCCGGGTTCAAGCGATTCTCCTGCCTCAGCCTTCCAAGTAGCTGGGATTACAGGTGCCCACCACTGCACCCGGCTAATTTTTGTATTTTTAGTAGATATGGGGTTTTGCCACGTTGGCCAGGCTGGTTTTGAACTCCTGAACTCAGGTGATCCACCTACCTAGGCTTCCAAAAGTGCTGGGATTACAGGCGTGAGCCACTGCTCCTGGCCCCTTCATTCTGTTTATATGATATATCACATTGACTGATTTGCATGTTGAACCATCCTTGTATCTCTGGGATAAATTCCCCTTGGTCATTATGAATTACCTATTTATGTATTGTTTAATTGCATTTACTAGGTTTTTTGCAAATTTTTGCATCAATATTCTCAAATATGGGCCTGCAGTTTGCTTTTTAAATGTGTCTTTGTCTTGTTTTAATATCACTGTAATACCAGCCTCAAAGAATGAGTTTGGAAATGTTCTTTCCTTCTCTATTTTTCAGTCTGGTCCTATAGACATTTTTTTATTATGGCTTTAATTTTGTTACTTGTTATTGGTCTGTTCAGGTTTTGGATTTTTTCCTAGTTCACTCTTGGTAAGTTGTGTGTGTCTAAGAATTAATTTCCTCTAGGTTTTCTAATTTGTTGGCATACAATTACTTATAGTAGCCACTAATGATCTTTTGATTTTCTGAAACGTTACTTGTAAAGTCTCCTTTTTCACCTTTGATTTTATTAATTTGTATCTTTGTTTTTTAGCTAGCCTGTCTAAATATTTGTCAATTGTTTTACTGTTCAAAAAATCAACTTTTTGTTTCATTGATCTTTTGCACTGTTTTCTTCATTTTATTTCTGCTCTAATTTTTATTATTCTTTTCTTCTAATTTTGAGTTTGGTTTGGCCTTTTTATTCTAGTGAATTAAGATGTATTGTTAGGTTATTTATTTGCAGCTTTTCTGATTTTTATATAGGCACTTACAGTTATAAATTTTGCACAGCAAAAGAAACTACCATCAGAGTGAACAGGCAACCTACAAAATGGGAGAAAATTTTTGCAACCTACTCATCTGACAAAGGGCTAATATCCAGAATCTACAATGAACTCAAACAAATTTACAAGAAAAAAACAAACAACTCCATCAAAAAGTGGGCAAAGGACATGAACAGACACTTCTCAAAAGAAGACATTTATGCAGCCAAAAAACACATGAAAAAATGCTCATCATCACTGGCCATCAGAGAAATGCAAATCAAAACCACAATGAGATACATCTCACACCAGTTAGAATGGCAATCATTAAAAAGTCAGGAAACAACAGGTGCTGGAGAGGATGTGGAGAAATAGGAACACTTTTACACTGTTGGTGGGACTGTCAACTAGTTCAACCATTGTGGAAGTCAGTGTGGTGATTCCTCAGGGATCTAGAACTAGAAATACCATTTGACCCAGCCATCCCATTACTGGGTATATACCCAAAGGACTGTAAATCATGCTGCTGTAAAGACATATGCACACGTATGTTTATTGCGGCACTATTCACAATAGCAAAGACTTGGAACCAACCCAAATGTCCAACAATGATAGACTGGATTAAGAAAATGTGGCACATATACACCATGGAATACTATGCAGCCATAAAAAATGATGAGTTCATGTACTTTATAGGGACATGGATGAAACTGGAAATCATCATTCTCAGTAAACTATCGCAAGAACAAAAAACCAAACACCGCATATTCTCACTCATAGGTGGGAATTGAACAATGAGATCACATGGACCAGGAAGGGGAACATCACACTCTGGGGACTGTTGTGGGGTGGGGGGAGGGGGGAGGGATAGCACTGGGAGATATACCTAATGCTAGATGACGAGTTAGTGGGTGCAGCGCACCAGCATGGCACATGTATACATATGTAACTAACCTACACAATGTGCACATGTACCCTAAAACTTAAAGTATAATAATAAAAGAAAAATAAATAAAGAAATTTTCCTTTCATAATAGTACCTCTTTTACCATATTCCACAGGTTTTGCTATGCTATGTTTCTATTATTTGTTTCAAGAAATTTTTCCATTTTCTTTTTAACATTTTTATTGACCTACTGATCATTCAAGAGCATATTGTTTAATGTCCAAGTGTTTGTATAGTTTCTGAAATTCATTTTTTAATCGATTTCTAGTTTGTTCCATTGTGGTCAGAGAAAATGCTTGAAATTACTTCAAATTTTTTTAATGTTTTTAGACTTGCTACTTAACATATGGTCTATCCTTGAAAATAACCCATGTGCAGAGAAGAATGTGTATTCTGCAGCTGTTGGATGAAATTTTCTGTAAATATCTATTAGGTTCATTTGTTATACAGTGCAGATTAAGTCTGATGTTTCTTTGTTGATTTTCTGTCTGGAAGGTCTATCCAATGACTAAAGTAGGGTGTCGAAGTGTTCAGCCATTATTGTATTGATGTCTCTTTCTTTAGCTCTTATAGTATTTGCTTCATTTATCTAGGTGCTTTAGTGTTGGGTGCATATATATTTCCAATTATATCCTCTTCAAGAATTGATCTCTTTATTATTATATAATGACCTTCTTCATATCTTCCTACAGTCTTTTGTTGAAATCTATTTTTGTCTGGTATAAGTAAAGCTATTTCTGTTCTTTTTTGGTTTCTATTGGCATGGAATAACTTTTTCCATCGTTTTATTTTCAGTCTAAATGTATCTTTATAGGTAAAGTATTTTTTTTTTGTAGGTCACAGATTATTGTCTTGCTTCTCTATCCATTCATCCACTATTTGTCTTTTGATTGGAGTATTTCATTCATGTACATTCAATGTTATTATTGATAAGCACTTACTCCTGCCCTTTTGTTACTTGTTTTCTGATTGACTTTTGTCCTCTCATCGTTCTTTTCTTTCTTCCTGTCTTCCTTTTAGTGAAGGTGATTTATCTTTTAATATTATCTAATTTATTGCTTTTTACTTTTTGTACATCTGTGGTATGCTTTTTGATTTAAAATTATCATGAGGCTTGAATATAATATCTTATAACACATCATTTTAGACTGTGGACAATTTAACATTGATTGCATAAACAAAGAAACAAGCAAAGCAACTAATAAAAACTCTACACTTTAACTCCATTGCCATTCTTTTAAACTTTTTGTTGTTTCTCTTCCTTCCCTATTTTACTGTCTATGTCTTGGAAATATGTTGTAGTTATTTTTTACTGGTTTATTGTTTACTCTTTCTATTTGAGATTTTTGCACACCATAATTACCATCTTATAATATTCTGTGTTTTTCCATGTGCTATTACTAGTTGAGTTCTGTACCTTCAGATGACTTCTTATTGCTCATTCACTTTTTTTCTTTCAGGCTAAGAACTCCCTTTAGCATTTCTTGTAGGACAGGTCTGGTGTTAATGAAATACCTCAGTTTTTGTTTGTCGGAAAAAGTTCTCATTTCTCTGTCAAGTTTAAAGGACTTTTTGCCAAATACATTATTCTAAAGTAAAAGTCTTTTTTTTCTTCAGCTTTTCTAATATGTCATGCCACTCTCTCAGCCTGTAAATTTTCCCCTGAAAAGTCTGCTGTCAGATGTATTGGAGTTCCACTGAATGTTATTTGTGTCTCTTCTCTTGCTGCTTTTAGAATCATTTCTTTATCCTTAACCTTTGGGAGTTCAGTTAAGTGCCTTGAGGTGGTCTTCTTTGGGTTAAATCTGCTTGATGTTCTGTAACTTTCTTGTACTTGAATGTTGATATCGAATGTTGGGGAATTGTTTAATATTATCTAATATTATTTCTTTAAATAAATGTTTAATTTTTTTTTTTGATGGAGTCTCACTCTGTAGCCCAGGCTGGAGTGCAATGGCACAATCTTGGCTCACTGCAAGCTCCGCCTCCTGGGTTCACGCCATTCTCCTGCCTCAGCCTCCCAAGGAGCTGGGACTACAGGTACCCACCACCGCGCCCAGCTAATTTCTTTTTGTATTTTTAGTAGAGATGGGGTTTCACCGTGTTAGCCAGGATGGTCTTGATCTCCTGACCTTGTGATCCACCCGCCTCGGCCTCCCAAAGTGCTGGGATTACAGGCGTGAGCCACTGCACTGGGCCAATAAATGTTTAACTCTTATCTCTTTTTCTACCACCTCTTTAAGGCCAATAACTCTTAGATTCCTATTTTGAGGCTATTTTTTAGATTCTGTAGGCATGCTTTATTCTTTATTCTTTTTTGTCTCCTCTGACTTTGTCTTTTCAAATAGTCTGACTTCAAGTTCACTAAATCTATCTTCTCCTTGATCAATTTTTTTAAGTAACTCTGATGCATTCTTCAGTATGATAATTGCATTTTAACTTCAGAATTTCTGCTTTATTCTTTTTATTTAAATCTTATCTTTAAATTTATCTGATAGAATTTTGAATTCCTTCTCTGTGTTATATTGAATTTCTTCGAATTACCTCAACCAGCTATTTTGGATTTCCTGTATGAAAGGTCACATATCTCTATTTTTCCAGGATTTGCCCCTGGTGCCTTATTTAGCTTGTTTGGTGAGGTCATGTTTTCCTGGATGGCCTTGATACTTATAGATGTTCATCTATATCTGGGCATTGAAGAGGTCAGTCTTTATTGTAGTCTTCACAGTCTGGGCTTGTTGGTGCCCATTATTTTTGGGAACACTCTCCAAGTGTTCAAAGAGACTTAGGTCCCAAGCCCAATACACAGTAGCAAACACGTAAAGGTACTGCTTTGGTGGCCTTGGATTAACATCAAGAAAAATTCTCTTAATTTTTCAAGTAGAGATCTTGTTCTCTTCCCTTTCTTTCTCTGAAACCAGCAGAGTCTCTCTTTCTCTGCTGAGGCATGTGGAGCTGGAGTTGGGGTAACATAAGCACCCCTGAGGCCACCACCACTGAGACTGTGCTGGTTCACACATGAAGTAGCCATAGAACTTGGTCTCACCCAAGGCCCACTGTAACCACAACTTGGCTACCATATAAGTTTATTCAAAGCCCTAGCCCTAGCCCTAACCCTAACCCTAACCCCAAACCCTAACCCTAGTCCTAGCCTTAGCCCTAACCCTTACCCTAACCCTAACCCCCAACCCCAACCCTTAACCCTTAACCATGACCCCTAACCACTGACCCCAACCCTAACCCTTAACCCTAACCCTTAACCCCTAACCCTAACTCTAAAACCCTAACCCCAACCCCAACACTAACCCCTAACCCTAACCCTCACCCTCACCCTCACCCTAACCCTTAACCCTAACACTAACCATCTAACCCTTCTCCATAACTTAAACCTAACCATTACCCCAACCCTAAATCAAACTCTAAGCAAACCCTAACACACTAGGCACACAAGAACAGAGGTGTGCATATTCATTCTGTCATACTTATGTTTGCACTTCCTCTCACACATACACATCAACACACTCACATATGCATACCCCTATACATACTGAAATGTCATCTGATTTGTGACCCAAAGAACTCTCAACTAAGAAATAAATGAAAAGTTGCTTACACTGACTAATACTGAAGGAAGTGCCAATTAAAAGAATATTAAAATATCTTTGCCTGCCTGTGTGCAGGCTGGCGTGGTGGCTCCTGCCTATAATCACAGCACTTTGGGAGGCAGAAGTGAGTGGATCACTTGAGGCCAGAAGCTTGAGACCAGCCTGGTCAACATGAGGAAACCCCCATCTCCACTAAAAAAAAAAAAAAAAAAAAAAAATAGTTGGGCATGTTGGCACGCACCTGTGTTCCCAGCTACTTGGAAGGCTGAGGCCTAAAAATCATTTGAACCCAGGAGTTGGAGGTTGCTATAAGCCAAGACTGTGCCACTGCACTCCTCCCTGGGCAACAGAGCAAGAACCTGTCTCAAGAAAAGGACTGATATTTACTGTTGACAAAGGCTACAGGCACTCTCTTGCTAACCCTAAACCCTGACTTTGACCCAGACCTCATCATACTCTTCCCCGCAATTCCTCAGGTATGTTTTCTTTCTGCTAATTTTTTTCCCCTAAACTTCTAACACTTAATACGCTAAATAGTAAACCAACCCATACCCAATCCCATCCGCAATTTAATACTAAACCACACTAGGACTTGACATCACAAGAACAGAAAGGTACAGATCAATGTCTAGTATAATTATTCAATTAATAATGCTCAAGAGGCTGGGTGTGGTGGCTCACACCTGAAATCCCAGCACTTTGGGAGGCCAAGGCAGACAGATCACCTGAGGTCAGGAGTTTGAGACCAGTCTTGCCAACATGGTGAAACCCTGTCTCTACTAAAAATACAAAAATTAGCCAGGCGTGGTGGCGGGAGCCTGTAATCCTAGCTACTCAGGTGGCTGAGGCAGGAGAATTGCTTGAACCTGGGAGCCAGAGGTTGCAGTGAGCCGAGATCGTGCCACTGCACTCCAGCATGGGCGACAAGAGTGAGACTCTGTCTCAAAAAAATTAAAAATAATAATAATAATAATGCCCAAGAAAATAATTGTAATTTCATACTAGCACGTATTTTGAGGATTGCACAACATGATCACTACATCCTTTTCTCAGAAAATCAAGCTGGTTTGGCATACTAAAGCCATCACTGCAAAGGAACATCAAATAAACAGAATAAAGAAGAAACCCACATGCTAATTTCAATAGATGCAGGAAGTACTTTAAACAAAGTCAACACCATTTCATCATAAAAACACCCAACAAACCAGGGATAGGAATTTTCTAAACACCACAATCGGACTTTAGCACAATCTCCATTGTCAGGGCCCAGTGCTTTACTCCTAAGATCAGGACCAAGGCACCAATGCTCATTTTCATCACTGTATTCAACACTGTACGGGAAGTTCCATCCACAACAAATAGGAGAGAAAAAGAAGTAAAGAGAACTTATATGTGTTAGGAAACAGTACAAATGGCTACTCACAGATCACAGGAGCTATCTTATGTACAGAAATATCATGACAAACCCCCAAAATATTATTAAAACTAGTAAACTACAACACAAAATGTCAATACACAGTAATCTGCTGTATTTCCAGACACCAGCAACAAACAACATGAGAATGTAATTATGAAAACCATTCCAGGCTGGGGGTGGTGGCCCACACCTGTAATACCAGCACTTTGAGATGCTGAGGTGGGAAGATCTTTTGAACCCAGGAGTTTCAGGCCAGTCCGGCCAACACAGGAAAACACTCTCTCTACAAATAACTTAAAAATTAGCTAGGTGTGACGATGCATATCTGTAGTCCTAGTTACTCGGGTGACAGAGGAGGGAAGATTGCTTGAGCCCAGGAGGTTTAGGCTGCAATAAGCCACGTTCACACCACTGCACTCCAACCTGGCCAACAGGGCAAAACCATGCCTTGAAAAAGAAAGAAAAAGAAATTACATTTTTAAAAATCAACAGGCTGGACATGGTAGCTGACACCTGTAATCCCAATGCTTTGGGAGGCCAAGAGAGGAGTATCACTTGAGAACAGGAGTTTGAGGCCAACTTGGGCAGGACAGCAAGACCCTACCTGTATAAAAAAATCAAAAAATTAGCCAGATGTGCTGGTGCATACCTGTAGCCCCAGCTACTTGGGAGGCTGAGGCGGGAGGATCACTTGAGCCCAGGAGACAGAGGTTGCAGTGAGCCATGATTGTGCCACAGTACTCCAGCCTGGGAGACAGAGTGAGATCCTGTCTCAAAAAAATAAAAATAAAGCAATTGCTCATAGAAATATGGGTTTATTTCTGAACTCAAAATTCAGTTCCATTGATCTATTCAATGGATTATACCAGAATCATGTTGATTTTATTACTGTTGCTTTATAGTAGGATTTGAAATTTGGAAATGTGAGCCTCTGAGTTGTTTTGTTTTTTTGTTGTTTTTTTTTTTTTGACACTATTTTGGCTATTCTGCATCCCTTGATATTTCGTATAAATGACAGGATCAGCCTGTTGATTTCTGCCAAAAGGACGTTGGGATTGTAACAGGAATCACAAAGAATCTGTAGATGGCTTTGTGTAGTACTGCCACCTTAAGAATTATTAAGTCTTCCAGTTCGTGAATATGAGGTGTCTTTAAATTTATGTAAGCTTTCTTGAATTTACTTCAGCAATGTTTTGAAATTTTCCATGTACAAGTTATTTTGTTGTTGTTTTTTGTTTTTTCCAGAGATGGGGTCTCACTCTGTCACCCAGGGTGGAGTACAGTGGCAAGATCTTGGCTCACTGCAACCCCTGCCTCCTGGGTTCAAGCAATTCTCCTGCCTCAGCCTCCCAAGTAGCTAGGATTACATGCGCATGCCACGATCCCTGGCTAATGTTTTGTATTTTTAGTACAGACGGGGTTTCACCGTGTTAGCCAGGATGGTATTGATCTCCTGACCTCATGGATCCACCTGCCTTGGACTCCAAAAGTGCTGGGATTACAGGCGTGAGCCACCATGCTCAGCCTCATGTACAAGTCTTGTACCTTGGTTAAATTTATTCCAAATAATATTATTACTGTTGATTGTTTTTTGAGAGAGTCTCACACTGTCACGCAGGCTGGAATGCAGTGCCACAATCCTAGCTCTTCAGCATGAATCTCCTGGGCTCAAAAGATCCTCCCACCTCAGCCTCTAGAGTAACTGGAACTACATATGCGTGCAAGTACAACCAGTTAACTTTTTAATATTTATGTAGGGACGGTGTCTGGCTATGGTGCCCGGCTTTCATTCTAAAATTTTTAAAAATTCTGAAATTTTAGCCATGAATCAGGCATAAATACTGTGATGGTTAATTTTAGGTGTCAACTTTACCAGATTAAGGAATACACAGAGAGCTGTTAAAGCACTATGTGTGGGTATGTCTGTGAAGGTGTTTTCAGAAGAGATATCATACTGGTATAACATATCACGGCATATCGTAATACTGATATGACACCCACAAGACTGCTGTGACACCCATAAGACTGATGTGAAGCCCACAAGATTCATGACACTCCTAAGACTCATATGACACCCATAATACTGATATGACACCTGTAAGGCTGATATGACACTCATAAGACTGATGGGACACCTGCAATACTGATATGATGCACACAATACAGATATGACACCTGAAATACTGATATGACGCCCACAATACTGCTATGACACCCCTAAGACTCATGTGACACCCTCAATACTGATATTGCAGCCGCAATACTGATACAGCATCCAGACTCTCACCGGGGTGCTTGGTACACAGCTTCCACTGACCTGAATTTGGACTGGGTTTGGCCTCTGTAGTGAAGTTTGATGCCATCTCTGCTTTACTGACATGGTATTACTGTGGTTGTTTTCAATTTACTTTACAGTAATTTCATACTTCTAGGAATCTTGCAATAGCAGTGTAAAGTGTAACTTATCCCTTCTCTTAGATTCCTCAGCAGTTACAGCAACTCCACACAAAACACTCCAGTGTATTTTACCAAAGCAAAGACGGCCTCCCAGCTAACCACCACGTAACTCCCAAATCAGGAAATACAAGGTCTCTACCTGACAATCCAATCCAGGGACCCATTTCACTTCACTGCCTGCCCCAAGTGGGAGAAAGGGTCTCTTTCCATTTGGATTGGGTTTTCCTTTTTCTGGAATGTTCCTGAGCTGTCCCTCAGTTTCACAACGTTGGCAGATAACTCCCAGCTGGGTCTGCCCCGTGTTTCCTCCTGAGCAGATGCAGACCCTGCGTTCCCAGGGGAAACACCTCAGCCCAATGCTTGCTCTCCTCAGTGCAACCCACCAGAAAGAGCACAATCCCCCTGCCCGCAACTGGTGATCTCAACTGTAAAATGGCAAAATTCTCATTTTCAAACCCAAGGTTCACAATGTCACTCTCTGATTCAACTTTTACAATGGATTCCCACTGGCCTTAGAACAAGGACCACAGGACTGACCATGACCTCCACACACTGTGTGCTCCTTCCTGCATGCTGCCCTTTCCAAGGCATTCAACCCCAGTGGCCTGCAGTCTTGTATGCTCTCTCTTACAGGGACACAGCAGCCTCCTGGGTGTCTCGAGTATTTAATGCATGTTCCCTCAAGCCATTCACCCAATGTCCACCCTTAGCAAATTGTCTAAGACACTGTCCAGCAAAATCCCTAAAGTCACAGCAGGTGTGGTATCTAACAGTAGTAAAGTTAATAATGTGGTTTTTCTAAAAACAAAATGTAATTATTTCTTAGATAATCTCTAAGAATCACCCGCAATTTGTAGATCAAGGAAATAATAGTTTAATGGAACCAAAGTCCATGTATGAGATAATTAGGAAAGAAAAACGAAATCTCAGTGTTGAACGAAAGGCAAATGGCGTAACTAATTACTGAAATTTAATAAGAACACACTGGGCCGGGCATGGTGGCTCATGCTTGTAATCCCAGCACTTTGGGGGGATCTGAGGCCAGCCTGGGCAACATGGCAAAACCTCATCTCTACAAAAAAAATACAAAAATTAGCTGAGCACGGTTGTATACACCTGTAGTCCCAGCTACTGGGGAGGCTGAAGCGGGAGGATGGCTCGAGCCCGGGAGGATGCAGTGAGCCGAGATGGTGCCAGAGGACTCCAGCCTGGGCAATCGGGCCAGACCCTAAAAACACTCTCCTCCTGACTCTTCAGGGAGCCAGACAGAATTCTCTCTCTTCTGCTGCCTCCTTTGTGTTTGAATATAAAACACAAAAACGAAAGCTTTGTGAAATAAATTTAACCAAGCTAAACAAAACACCTAAATAAAAGCTTTGTCTGGGAAACTTGCTCATCCTCATGTCAATTTCTATTACTGGAGAGCCAAGAAACTCTGGTCAGTAACAATACCACTGACAGCTGGTTCCTGCAAAAGGTGTTGTGTTAGACAGGAATTATTTTAAAATAATTAAAGCTTGTCATTGGGTCATAAGAAATTGTTTAATATAACAATTCCCTCAATTGAAAACAAGATAAACTAATAAGTATATTTTGTTGTTGTTGTTTTGTTTTGTTTTTGTTTTTTTATTTTTTTTATTATTATACTTTAAGTTTTAGGGTACATGTGCACAATGTGCAGGTTAGTTACATATGTATACATGTGCCATGCTGGTGTGCTGCACCCATTAACTCGTCATTGAGCATTAGGTATATCTCCTAATGCTATCCCTCCCCACTCTCCCCACCCCACAACAGTCCCCAGATATTTTTTAAAATATTATTGATGGAAACAAACCGCAGAAATAAATAGAATTAAGAATTCTGTAAAAAACTAGAAAGATATAAATTAGAAGTCAAATAAGAGAAACTTATTGGCTCATGCCTGTAATCACAGTACTTTGGGAGGCCGAGGCGGGCGGATCAGCTGAGGTCAGGAGTTTGAGAACGGCATGGCCAACATGGCAAAACCCAGTCTCTACTAAAAATACAATAATCAGCCAGGCATGGTGGCGCAGACCTGTAATCCCAGCTACTCAAGAGGCTGAGGACGAATTACTTGAACACAGGAGGTGGAGGCTGCAGTCAGCCGAGATCTCCACTGCGCCACTGCACTCCAGCATGGGAGACAGAGCAGAACCCCGTCTCAAAAAATAAAAAATAAAAAAAAGGAGAAACATATTGAATCAAACTGGAAACAGAGAGAAAATGGGTGATTTCCTAATAAAAATACACAACAAAATGGACTCTAAAATAAGGAAAATTTAAATACACCGATTAGCATAGAAAAGCTTGGAGTGACCCTTAGAGATCCCCATCAAAAAAGGACCCCAGGGGCAGGGCGTGGTGGCTCATGCCTGTAATCCCAACACTTTGGGAGGACAAGGCGGGCAGATCACTTGAGGTAAGGAGTTTGAGACCAGCCTTGCCAGCATGGTGAAACCCCGCCTCTACTAAAAACACACAAAAAATTACCCAGGCATCATGGCACACACTTGTAGTCCCAGCTACTTGGGAGGCTGAGGCAGGAGAATCGCTTGAGTCCAGGAAAGGGAGGTTGCAGCGAGCGGAGATCGTGCCACTACACCCTAGCCTGGGCAACTGAGTGAGACTGCATCTCAAAAAAAAAGAAAAAGAAAAAAGAAAAATACCGCAGGGCTGGGCGCAGTAGCTCACACCTGTAATCCCCAGCACTTTGGGGAGGCCGAGGTGAGGGATCACCTGAGGTCAGGAGTTCGAGACAAGCCTGACCAATATGGTGAAACCCCATCTCTACTAAAAATACAAAATTAGCCGCATGCCTGTAATCCCAGCTACTTGGGAGGCTGAGGCAGGAGAATCATGTGAACCCAGGAGTCAGAGGTTGCAGTGAGCCGAGATCTCACCATTGCACTCCAGCCTGAGAAGAAAAAGTGAAAATCTGTCTCAAAAAAAAAGTGGGGAGACCTTAGGCTGGGTGCAGTGGCTCACACCTGTAATCCCAGCACTTTGGGAGGCTGACATGTAAGGATCACTTGAGCCCAGGAGTTAAAGACAAACCTGAGGGACATAAAGATCCTGCTTAAATTAGCAGTGCATGGTGGCTGGTGCCTATAGTCCAAGCTACTTGGGAGGCTGAGGCAGGAGGATTGCTGGAGCCCAGGAGGTCAAGGCTGCAGTAAGCCATGATCACACCACCGCACTCCAGCCTGGGTGATAGAGCAAGACCTTCTCTCTTAAAAAAAAAAAATCAATCAATAAAAATGTAAAGGCTGGGTACAGTGGCTCACACCTATAATCCCAATAATTTGGGAGGCAGAGGCAGGTGGATCACTTGAGGTCAGGAATTAGAGATAAGCCTGACCAAAATGGTGAAACCCCATCTCTATTAAAAATACAAAATTAGCCAGGCATTCTGGTGCACACCTGTATTCCCAGCTGCTCAGGAGGCTGAGGTAGGAGAATTGCTTGAACCCAGGAGGCAGAGGTTGCAGTGAGCCAAGATCGGGACATTGCACTTTAGCCTGGGCAACAGGAGCTAAACTCTGTCTCAAAAAACAAACAAAAAAATTTTTTTAATTAAAAAAAAAAAAAAAAGCAGCCAGGCGTGGTGGCTCAGGCCTGCCTGCAATCCCAGCACTATGGGAGGCCGAGGTGGGTGGATCACTTGAGGTCAGGAGTTCGAGACCAGCCTGGCCAACATGGTGAAACCCCACCTCTATTAAAAATACAAAATTAGCCCGGCGTGGTGATGCAGGCCTGGAATCCCAGCTACTCAGGAGGCTGATGCAGGAGAAGTGCTTGAACCCAGGAGGTGGAGGTTGCAGTGAGCTGAGATCGCGCCACTGCAGTCCAGCCTGGGCGACAAAGTGAGACTCCATGTCAAAAAAAGAAAAGAGGCTTGGCTCAGTGGCTCACGCATGTAATCCCAACACTTTGAGAGGCCAAGGCGGGTGGCCACGAGGTCAGAAGTTCAAGACCAGCCTGGCCAAGATGGTGAAACCCCATCTCTACTAAAAATACAAAAAAATTAGCAGGGCATTGTGGCAGGCGCCTGTAATCCCAGTTCTTGGGGAGGCTGAGACAGAGCATTGCTTCAACCTGGGAGGTGGAGGTTACAGCGAGCTGAGCTCACGCCACTGCACTCCAGCCTGGGAGACAGAGCGACACTCCATCTCAAAAAAAAAAAAAAAAAAGCAAAAAGAAAAAATAAGAAAAGACACCGCAGGGCCATACGGGTTTACAGCTCAGTATTAAATAACCTTAACGAAATCTGATTTTATTTAAAATGCTGAAGGCCAAGGGAAAAAAAAAAAGATTAGTGACTTTCTTCAATTAATTTTATGGTATCATGTCAAAGCTTGATATAGTTAATACATTTCAACTAACTTAGGATGAGAATGTTTATAAAACAGACGTCATTTTCTGTACCATTACAAATACACTGCAAATTAAACAGACTTTCTCAACAAAAGAAAAACTGTTGTTGACGAGTTCACTTCCATTAGACGCACACAATGGTGTTTTTGGTTTTGTTTTCATTTGTTTTTGTTTTTTGAGACAAGGTCTCGCTCTGTTGCCCAGGGCTTGAGTGCAGTGGCGTGAGCATGATAATGTGCCTACTTTTCCATTTTCCTGTGTTGTTTCTACTATGTTAACAAATGAGTCTGAAAACACGGAGCACTGACCAGGCCAGGTGGCTCACGCCTGTAATCCCAGCACTTTGGGAGGCCGAGGTGGGTGAATCACCTGATGAGGTTGGGAGTTCAAGACCAGCCTGACCAACATGGAGAAACCCCGTCTCTACTAAAAATACAAAATTAGCCGGGCGTGCTGGCGCATGCCTGTAATCCCAGCTACTCGAGAGGCTGAGGCAGGAGAATCGCTTGAACCCAGGAGGCGGAGGTTGCAGTGAGCCGAGATCGCGCCATTGCACTCCAACCTGGGAAACAAGAGCGAAAGTCCGTCTCCAAAACAAAACAAAACACAAAATGAGCGCTGATCCGGGGGCGCCCGTTTCCTCGACCTCAGGCTGTGGCGCCTGCCAGTCCCCAACATCCCGACAGCCCGACGGCGTCTCCGCTTTCCTCCTCCTCTCCCGGTACCAGGGTCTCTCCCCAGAAACAAACTCGCATTCCTAACCGGCATCTTGGCCTTGCGCTGGGGGTGACCCGCCCAAGCCACCATGAAGGGACGCTCGCACAAAGTGAAGTCCACATACAAACAGCCCGACGGGAAACGCGGCCGCGCTCGCCCCGCTGCACTCGCAGCGCGGGCAGGAAGCCTTTTCCTCACTTTTGCCTCGGTGTCCCGGAGCTGCAGCAGCGTCTCCCTGTCCTCACAGCGGACGCGGCCCCAGGTGTCCCAAGCCCCGGCCCCTCCTGGGTGGGTGCTGAGGAGAGGAAGCTCCGTCCTCACGGTGGACCCCCCGTCCTCACAGTGGACCCCCCGTCCTCACAGTGGACCCCCCAGGACGCCGCCGTGCGGTTCGGACACGGTTCGCGCGCGCGCGGCCCTCCGGGTTTGGCAGGGCCGGGCGCCCCCTCGCGACAGCTCTGGGGAATCTCTGGAAATCAGCGTCTGATTTTTTCCAGGCCCTGATTTTGGAAATTTCAACTGAACTGGAGACCACCATCCCGTCCCTTGACCGGAACGCATGGAGATAGCAATCGAAGAAGATGACCAGTTCACGCCTGTAATCCCAGTACTTTGGGAGGCCGAGTCGGGCGGATCACTCGAGGTCAGGAAATCGAGACCATTCTGGCCAACATGGTAAAATCCCATCTCTACTAAAAATACAAAAATTATCTGGGCGTGTTGGCACACGCCTGTAGTCCCAGCTACTCTGGAGGCTGAGGCAGGAGAATCCCTTGAACCCGGGAGGTGGAGGTTGCAGTGAGCAGAGATCGCGCCACTGCACTCCAGCCTGGCGACAGAGCGAGACTCAGTATCAAAAAAAAAAAAAAAAAAGAAAGAAAGAAAAAGAAAAAAATAGAAAGAAGGAAAAAAGAAGGAAGAAAGTAAGGGGAAGGAGAAGGGGAAGGGAGAAGGAAGTTAAGAAGAGACTCCAGGCTAGGTGCAGTGGCTCACGCCTGTAATCCCAGTACTGTGGGAGGCTGAGGTGTAAGGATCACTTGAGCCCAGGAGTTCAAGACAAACCTGAGCAACGTAAAGATCCTACTGTCTGTGCCAATTTTTTTTTTTTTTTTTTTTTTTTTGAGACGGAGTTTCACTCTTATTGCCCAGGCTGGAGTGCAATGGCGCGATCTTGGCTCACTGCAACCTCCACCTCCAGGGTTCAAACAATTCTCCTGCCTCAGCCTCCCGAGTAGCTGGGATTACAGGTGCGCGCCACCATGCATGGCTAATTTTTGTATTTTTAGTAGAGACGGGGTTTTGCCATGTTGACCAGGCTGGTCTCGAACTCCTGTCCTCAGGTGATCCCCCCACCAAGGCCTCCCAAAGTCATTCACACCTGGGATTACAGGCGTGAGCCACCGCGCCCAGCCAAATTTTTTTTTTTAAATTAGCTGTGCATGGTGGCTGGTGCCTATACTCCTAACTACTTGGGAGGCTGAGGCCGGAGGATTGCTGGAGCCCAGGACACCGAGGCTGCAGTGAGCTGTGATCACACCACTGCACTCCAGCCTGGGTGACAGAGCAAGACCTTCTCTCTTAAAACAAAACAAACCGAAAAAAGGCTGGACGTGGTGGCTCACGCCTGTAACCCCACCACTTTGGGAGGCAGAGGTGGGTGGATCACCTGAGGTCAGGAGTTCGAGACCAGCCTGGCCCACATGAGGACACCCCATCCCTACTAAAAATACAAAAATTAGCCAGATGTGGTGGTGGGCGCCTGTAATCGTAGCTACTCCGGAGGCTGAGGCAGGAGAATTGCTTAAACCCGGGAGGCGGAGGTTGCAGTGAGCCAAGATCGCACCACTGCACTCCAGCCTGGGTGACAGAGCAAGACTCTGTCTCAAAAAAAAAAAAAAAAAGACAAAAAGAAGATGGCCGGTAGACAAAACTCAATTTATTTTCTTTATTTTCTTTTTACTCTTAAAAAGGGTCTCGCCCTGTCGCCCAGACTGGAGTGCAGTGCAGTGAGCATAATGTGCTACTTTTCCATTTTCCTGCGTTGTTTCCACTACGTTAACAAATAAGCCTTAAAACACCAAGCACTGGCCAGGCGAGATGGCTCATGCCTGTAATCCCAACACTTTGGGAGGCTAAGGCGGGTGGATTTCCTGGGGTCAGGAGTTCGAGACCAGCCTGGCCAACATAGTGAAACCCGTCTCAACTAAAAATAGAAAAAATTAGCTGGGCGTGATGGCGGGTCCCTGTAATTCCAGCTACTCGGGAGGCTGAGGCGGGAGAATCGCTTGAACCCGGGAGGCGGAGGTTGCAGTGAGCCGAGATCGTGCCATTGCACTCCAGCCTGGGAAACCGAAGCGAAACTCCGTCTCAAAAAAAAAAAAAAAAAAAAACACGAGCACCGATCAGGGGGCGTCTGTTTCCTCGGCCTCAGGCTGTGGCCCCTGCCAGTCCCCAGCCTCCCGACCGACGGCACAACGGCCTCTCCACGTTCCTCCTCCTCTCCGGGGACCAGGGTCTCTCCCCAGAAACAAAATCGCATCGGTAACCGGCATCTTGTCCTGTGCTGGGGGTGAGCCGCCCAAGCCTCCATGAAGGGACGCTCGTACAAAGTGAAGTCTGGGTACAAATGGCCAGACGGGAAACGCGCCGCGCTCGCTCCGCTGCACTCACAGCGGCGGCAGGAAGCCTTTTTCTCACTTTCTCCCCGGCGGCCCCAGGTGTCCCGGAGCGTCTCCCTGTCCTCACAGCGGACGTGGCCCCAGGTGTCCCGAAGCCCCGGCCCCTCCGGGGTGGGTGCTGAGAGGAAGCTCCGTCCTCACAGTGGACGCCCCACGCCGCCGCCGTGCGGTTCGGACACGGTTCGCGCGCGCGCCGCCCTCCGGGTTTGGCAGGGCCGGGCGCCCCCTCGCGGCAGCTCTGGAGAATCTCTGAAAATCAGCGTCTGGATTTTTCCAGGCCGAGATTTTGGAAATTTCAACTGAACTGGAGACCACCATCCCGTGCCTTGACGGGAACGCATTGAGATAGTAATCAAAGAAGATGGCCAGTTCACGCCTGTAATCCCAGCACTTTGAGAGTCTGAGGCGGGCGGATCACTTGAGGTCAGGCGTTCGAGACCAGCCTGGCCAACGTGGTGAACTCTCGTCTCTACTAAAAATACAAAAATTAGCAGGCATGATGGCGCGTGCCTGTAATCCCAGCTACTCTGGAGGCTGAGGCAGGAGAATCGCTTGAACCCGGGAGGCGGAAGTTGCAGTGAGCTGAGATTGTGCCACTGCACTCCAGCCTGGCGACAGAGCGAGACTCCTTCTCAAAAAATTAAAAAAGAAAGAAAGAAAGAAAAAGAAGATGGCCAGTAGACAAAACTAAATTGATTTTCTTTCTTTTCTTTTTAGAGACAGGGTCTCGTTCTGTTACCCAGGCTTGAGGACAGTGGCATAATCACAGTTCCTGGGTTCAGCTTCCAGCTCCCGGGTTCAGCTTCCAGCTCCCGGGTTCAAGAGATTCTCCAACCTCAGCCTCCCAAAGCACTGGGATTACAGGTGTGAACCACCGTGCCAAGCCCCACCTGATTTTCTTTTATTTATTTGTTTTAATTATTTTATTTTATTTTTTACTGGGGGGAGTGGGTCTCACTATGTTGCCCAGGCTGGTCTAGAACTCCCAAGCTCAAGTGATCCTCCCAACTCAGCCTCCCAAAGTGCTAGGATTACATGAGTGAGCCACCATGCACTGCCTGACTTTCTATCAGCAATAATATATAGGAATAATTTGAACTTGAAATTTAAAAAAAATTACCATTTATAATAGCACCCCCAAAATTGAATTTATTAAGTATAAATGTAACAAAATACATCCAAATATGCATTCAGAAAACCTTGGATCATGGTTGGGAAGAATAAAAAATATATAAATAAATGCAGATACTCTTTGTTAGGAGCAGTACACTCATTACTTTTAGCTTTACCACAAAGCTAAAGTAATGAAGAGAGTGATATTGGTGAAGGAATGGACAAATAGATAAACAGAATAGAATACAGAACCCAAAAGACCCAAATAAATATAGTCAACTGCTTTTGTCAAAGGGGCAAAAATATTCAGTGGGGAAAGAAAAGTCTGTTCCACAGATGGCGACAGAACAATCGGAAACCATAGGGAAAAAAATGAACGTAGGTACAAACTTCATAGCTCACCCCTAAAAAATAATTCAAGATAGACTGTAGACTTAAATTTTCAAATATAAAATTGTAAAAGTTATTGAAGAAAATCCATATGACTTTGGATTGGTGATGAGTCTTTAGATACAATACCAAAAGCCAGTTCATAAGATAAAAAATGATAATGTGGACTTTATTAAAATTTAAAATGACTACTCTGTGAAATATCCAGTTAAGAGAATCAAAAAACAAGCCACAGACTGAGAGAAAATATTTAAAAAACAAACCTGAAAAAGACTTGTGCGCAAAATATACAAACAAATTCTAACAACAAAAAGAAAAACAACCCAATTAAAAGTTAGACACCTCACCAAAAAAGATATACAGATGACATGCCCAGGTGCAGTGGCTTATGTCTGTAATCTCAGCACTTTGGGAAATGGAGGCAGGCAATCACTTGAGGCCAGGAATTTGACACCAGCCTGGCCAACATGACAAAATCCTGTATCTACTAAAAATACAAAAATTAGCTGGGCATGGTGGCTGGCGCCTGTAATCCCAGCTACCTCGGAGGTGGAGGCAGGAGAATCACTTGAACCGGGGAGGCAGAGGTTACAGAGAGCTGAGATCACGCCACTGCACGTCAGCCTGGGCGACAGACCAAGACGCCATCTTAAAAAAAAATGGAGTTTTGCTGTCACAAGCCAAGAAACTAACAGAAGCTGAAGAGAGGCCCGAAATGGATACTTTCCTAGTGCCTTCAGAGGGAGCACGGCCCTGCTGAGACAGAGTAGAAATGGGACTCGGCCCACCCCAACTAACGTGTTGTTCCATACATGCCCGCTGACCACCAGACCTTGCAGCACCACCCTCCAGGTGCCATACTCGCTGGCCAGACCCTGCCAACCTTCTGAAATAAACTAAGATAAGCAGCATCTCGCCATAAGTCTTACTCAAGGGAGTTGACTCCATCACCCTGTTGTGCACGAGGCCAGGAGAATGACCAATCCTTACCCCTGGCCTCATTATAATACTAAAGTCCCCACCCAGGTATGGGCTTTTCAGCTATTTTCTGATCACGCAATGTATGTGTTAGCATGATTCTTTACTGCATCTGAGCACCCTTCACTCCACCCCATAGGTGTAATGACACTCACCTAACTCATAAAGTATGCATGTCACCCTCAGGACACCACAACGCACTCCCCTTGGGGAGCCAGCCAAGAATCCTTCCTCCTGGCCAACCTTTAGGGCATAAGACTTAATACGTCTCTTTTCTGCCCAGCCTTTAGGGGCATAAGACTTAATAAAGCCTTGTCTGGGAAACTTACTTGGCCTTGTATCAACTTCTGTTTCGTGGGAGCCTAAGAACATGTAGTCGGGAACACTGCCAACATCTTTATTTCCAACTTCTGGTCTTTGGAACTGTGAGACAACAAATTTCTGTGATTCTAAGCTACCCATTTTGTGGCACTTTGTTACGGCAGCCCTAGGAAACAAATGCAGGCATGTTGTGCTCCATCTGCCGCTCTCTCCAGACCACAGCTCCTCCCCAAGCCCACCCCATGAGAGGCTGAGGACAGAAGCAGGACCCTTCACAGGCCACCATCACTGCTGGATGGTCACTTCCAGCACTGACTGTCTGGGAGCTCCAGCCTCAACTCTCAGTTTCCTGGAGCAGATGGGAGTATGAGGACAAAGAGGAAGAAGGGCGCTGGCCTCCCAGGAACTGTCCCTGAGCCTCCACCCTGCTGTCCCTGAAGCTGCCCCTGAGCCTCCACCCTGAGCTCAGCCCAGAGCTGTCCCTGAGCCTCCACCCTGAGCTCAGCCCAGAGCTGTCCCTGAGCCTCCACCCTGCTGTCCCTGGAGCTGCCCCTGAACTTCCACCCTGCTGTCTCCAGAGCTGTCCCTGAGCCTCCACCCTGCTGTCCCCAAAAGTGTCATTGAGCCTCCACCACGCTGTCCCTAGAGCCCAGAAAGCCCAGGGCTGGCCAAACCTCACCCCTCACTCCTCCTCTGGCCCCTCTTCCCAGCCATCTGCACTTTGGAACAGCCATTAAGCCCCTTTTAATCTCTAGAAAGGTGCCTCAGGAAGGCACAAACAGGTCACACCGGGTGGTCATGGTGCCTTACCTGTGTCCACTGGGCCCTGGCTGGCCCTTTAAGGGGATGAGGGCGGAACAGCTGAGAGACCATAACCTTCTTCTCAGAGAGGCCAGGGATAAAGAAAAGGGACAGCAGGAGAAACCTGTGGGCAGGATGCTGAGGGTAGAGGTTCTCCCCACAGGCACTGAGCAGAGGGATCCTTCCTCCCTGAAGCTGCCCCTGAGCCTCCATCCAGAGAGGACCTCCAACCACTACTAGGGCCCGTTCTCAGGAGGTTCAGTCCCAGACAAGGGTTCCAGAGACTTAAGTCCATTTTCCCAAAATGGACATGATGCATATGGCAAGTCAGGGACTTAGAACGTCCAGGACCAAGCCTTGCTGAGGACGGAAGGGAGCAACGTGCCCTGGAGGTCCTCATGCAGCCCGGATCTCTGGCAGTGACCAGCCAGCACCCAGGCATCTCCTTGCTGGGTCTCCAAGCCCTGATGGTCACAGAAAAGGCCACAGGCCAGGGCTGGGATGGGCCCAGGGCTCTGTGTGTTTCCTGGGAGGGATGAGGGGTGGCATCCCCCGTAGCAGCTCGAGGCTCAGTAGTCACTGCTGTTACTGCTGCCCTCTGAGTCTGGGGGAGCTGGCCTGGTGGGGCACATGGGGGCCCAGTCCTCCTGTGGCAGATAGGCAAGCGGCTGTGCCCTCCACTCCTTACACCCTGCTGGCAGCACATCCTCTGAGCTCAGGTTGCCCCAGAGGCTGGTCCCAGTGCCCTCTTGCTCCTCCTCCAGGACCACAGATTTCCAAGGACCCACTGGGCCACAAGTGAGCAGTGCAGTGGCCTCCTGGATGCAGGGCTCCAAGGCTCCTCGTGGGGTGCCAGCACAGTCCTGGCTCAGCAGCACACCTGCCCCGTGGGCCCCCATCCAAGTCTGGAACAGAGTGTGGGAGGAGCGAAGGGCTCAGGCAGCATGTTCAGAACTCATCCTGGGAGCAGCTGCCTCCTTTCTGGCAAGCCCAGCCTCCCTCCTCCTCCAGGAAGCCCTCCTGAGGTCCACACCCAGAGGCCAAGCAGCGCCTGTGTCTTGGACATTCTGTCTTTCCTCCATGTGCCAGCCCATCCTCATCATGGGACCCTGAGTCCCTTCAGGCTCCTCAGCACTCCCCCAGCACAGGGTCTGGTGCCCACGGCAGCCTGAACCAAGGTACAGATGGTGATATCTGCCCAGGACAGAGCCAGCTCCTGACAGCATGTGCCTCAGGGCCTTTCAGCAGCTGCAGAGACTGGGCATTCCCAACACACACACACACACACACACACACACACACACACACACACACACAGACACACACACAGACATACACACAAACACACACACAGACACACACACACGAGTCACTGTCAGGACTGGTGACTTTCAAAGCACTGGGCTATGGCCAGCAGACCTGGATCCTTCTGTGGGGCCACAGGAGGCCCCCACCTCCAAAAGGAAGCTGTTCCCTTGGTGGGACCAGGAGCCTCCATCCCATGCATCACACACACCACACCCTCCGTCACTGCACTGCTCCCTAAACACACAACACACCCTCCGTCACTGCACTGCTCCCTAAACACACAACACACCCTCCGTCACTGCACTGCTCCCTGGAGACAAACCTACGGCACCACCCGAGGGTCTAAATAACAACTGGCAGGTGCCCTTGTTCTCTAGGGAAGAGCTGGTGCCTATAACAGGATGACAGTCCAGGGGACAGTCACGATCTGTGTCCTGCTCAGCCTTGTACTCAGCTGCCCAGGCTCCTAACAGTCACACCTACCACCTTGGGGAAAAGGGGAGACTCTGCCAAGAGCCAGGTGCCCAGTTTAGGGTTCAAATTGAATATTTGGACAAAAATCTTGAAAACTAGGCTCCTCATTGAGAGAGAAAAGGATGTTTCTGCATAGTAAGTTGGAGCTGCAGTGCGGAGGGGACATCCTTGCCACACAGGGCCCAGGGATGCCCTAGGGCACAGGGAGGGAAGATCCTGGAGAAGAGGGGTCAGCTTGGCCCAGAACCCAGGGAGGGGCCCTCACTGCTTCTTGTCCTTTGCCCAAAGTGAGGAGTCTGAGGGGAACAACCAGGGACCACTCACTGGAGCCCTCCCTCTCCCCCTCCTCCCACCCAGGGGGCATGAACCGCCAGCCCAGCAGGGAGGGGAGGGGCTGATGGAACCCCCAAGTTGTTCACTGGTGCCTGGGCTGTGTGGGCCCAACAGGGCAACAGAAGGGGAAGTGAAGAGCCCACTCCTCAGCTGTGGTGCCAGCATGCGATCCGTAGGGACCAGGGGACCAGGCAGAGCAGGAGCCCAGAGGCAGTGAGAGCCCCAAGGGCAGCACACACACCACAGACCCTTCCCCACAGCCACGGGACAGACACCTTCGCAGAAGGAGGAGGTGAGGCACATGGTGGGTGCAGACAGCCGCAAACCAGAGGGGACAGAGATAAGTCATGAGAAATTTACATTTTTCCATCAACAGTGGAACTGGAGACATGAGAACAAAAAGAAATCAGTAACGGAGAATAAAGCCAGTTTTTCCCCACTGGAGACACAGCGTATAAATTGAAATACAGTGAATATACAAAAAAGGCTCCAAGCACTGACAAGGCTCCCATACTGGCCGCCAACCCTCTTGAAAGCCAACATCTCGGGCAAGCCGGAGCTCTGGGCAACACCTGCCCCCAACGCCCTGCCGTGGTCTCTGCACACACCTGGAAGTTCCCATTGTGCACACTGTAGAGGGCTGGAAGAACACTGCTGGAGAGGACACATTCTGGTAGAAGTTTTTCTTCACCCTGAGGCCAGGAGAGGCCAGTCAGAGGCCTATGGGGACGCAGGGGGCCTGAGGTCACCACAGAGGCTGAGCTTCCTTCCATCAGCAGGAGGCCCACCCATCTCATCCCTGCCACTGCCTCTCTCCCATCTCATCACATCCCAACCCACTCTCAGGGCAGGACCCAACTGGGCCTCCTTGCCTAACGGCCGCACAGAACTGATTTATACTAAGGCAGGCGTCCTTTACAGCATGACCTCCAATGGTGGGTTCAGAATGGGGAGTTACCAGCCGGGTCCTCAGCCCGCAGAGGGAGCCAGCACCTCCAGGAACCTTGTCTTTGACATCAGCAGAAGTTCTGTGGCTGCCACCCCACCCAGTGTCTCCTTGAGCACCAGACTTGCTGCCGAAGATCCACTGACCCTCCCACAAGGATGTCACCTGGGGCTCCAACCCAACAGGTGCAAATAGACCTTGCCAACCTCCCCGCAAGGATGTCCCCCATTTCCCCACCTCAGGGGTCACCACTCAAATCTCATCCAGTCACACGTCCCCTCTATTCTCCCCCTAAGACCCTGCAATTCCCTCCACCTTGCTCTATCTCCACTTCTTTCACTGGCTCATGCCAAATCATCTCCCTGTGGGCACCCCACTGGCCCCCAATGGCCCACAGCAGGTCCCCCATGTCCCCTTACTCCAGCAATCCATTCCTCAAAACATAAACTAGGTCGCGTTACAGTTTCACACTTTCCTTTGCTCCAAGGAGAAGCCAAGCACCCTCCCGCTTAGCCCCACCCAACACCCCTCTCCCCACACCCTCTTCCTCACATCCTCGGCCTGACATGGCCCCTGCACTCCCTCTTGTAACCTGACATGTGGTGCATGAGGCGTGATGGTTTATTTAAGGAGGGCCCTTGTCCATCTTGTTCTCTAAGGCATCGGCCAGGGTGAGAACAGGGTCCTGTGCATACCAGATGCCCCAACTGACCTTTCATATAACGTGTGAACAAAAGAACACACCAAGCTCCTCCAGAGGCAGGAGACTAGGACCTCCGGCTCTTGATCTCGGTGACTCTGGGTCTGGTCAGGACCAAGCTGCCCTTATCTTCAGCCTCTGCCTCAGACCCCCCTTCCCTGCTCTCCCCTGGCAACTTGAGAACCCTCTTCTGGACCAGGGTGGAGACTGGAAAAGCCCACCCCATCCAGGACCAAGCAGTGGAGAGGGGAGGGTAGGAACCAGACAAGGGTGGCCCTTGACAGCCCACCCACCACACACTCACACATGCACACAGTCACACATCTGCACACATACACTAACGTGTACACTCTTGCCCGCTCACACATGTACACACACGCGCACACACACACACACACATCAGCTACCTACCTGGGCGACAGCTTGAACAGGAGGTAGGTCAGGCTAGTCAGCAGGAGAAAGACAGACACAGCAACAAAGGTGTTGCCTGGCCGCCCCCAGGGTGGGATCAGAGGGCCTGTGGGCAGGAAGGGCCAAGGGCTGTGAGCAGCCTCAGTGCACACGTGTGTGCACACATACATACATGCACACTCATGTGCACGCACTCACAGAGACACAGGCACACTCACCCTACTCACACACACACACAAAGCACACACAGGTGCATGTCAGCACGTGTGTGTTCACACACACACCTGGCTCCAGTTCCTCCCCTCCTCATCACTCCAAGTTGACATCTCCTTGTTTAGAGTGGGGAGTCTGCCCTGGACTGCTGCTCCCAGGAGAGAGGACCCCAGGGGAAGCCAGTCAAAGTGTTACCTCTCCTGCCTCTTGAAGCCCAGCTCATAGCTGAGAAGTGTGGTCATCAGCTCCAAGGCAGGACTGATGCTCCAGGTCAGGATGCTCTGCAAGTCAGAGAGCGGGTCCAGCTTCACTGGAACAGAGTGAATCTACCTAAGGCTGAAGCCCCATGGGTCTGGGTGTGTCAGTCAACACACCCAAGGGGTGGGGCATGGTCCAGGCCCTCTCAGACCAGGCACCTCACAGGGAGACTGGTCCAGAAAAGCCCCAGGCGGGACAGGACAGCAATGACTTCCTCTGGCCTCTGCAGCTAGACTAGGCGGTTTCTAAATCTTGTGTTCCCTTTCCTTCACAGTCTGCTGCTGGAAGTCCTTCCCAGCATCTTATTGGAGTCCTTCCTGGTATGGCTGAAGTGCATTTCACATAACTCTAGTGCCAGCCCCTGCCCCAAACTAGCAGCCCTGCATCTTTATTTTCTACAAAACCCTGCCCCCGCAGTAACCATGTGTGCCCTCCTCTCCCAGGGGCCAAGCCTGCCCCCAGCCCTGGATCTCACTTGGCAGGGACTGAGAACACTCGCTGGGCCACAGGGGTCACAGGCTGCAGGGCCCTGACCCCAGCCCCCAGGCAGCCAGGATGTTATTGGCGAGGGGCCCTGCCCCAGGTCTATAGCTGATACCGTGTCTCCAGGGCAGGTACTGCAGCTCCACCAGGCTGACCTGCTCCCTCCCAAACGTGCAGTGGTGGAAAGTGATGATGAAATTGTCGGACGGCAGGAGCACCACCTTGGGTGGAAGCACGACAGTGCACTCACTGCCCCACAAGATGCACTTATGTGTGCCACCAGGAGCCTGCTTGCTAGAAAGGGCAAGTGTCAGCACCACGGGGCTGTTACACTGTCGTGGTGTAGCTGCTGCCATCCTGGGGACCTCACCCTCATCCCTGTCCAGGTGGGCATGGCCCTCCACGCTCACCTAATGAAGAGGAGCCCGGGGCTGGAGCCCTGGCCCAGCTCTGGGGCAGACCAGTGGCAATCGATCCTGAGATTGTTGTTGGTGAGGCAGGTGAAGTTTGGCCCTTGGTCCTGGAGACAGTGACAGTTGGGAGCCCACCGTGAGTGCTTCAGGGCAGAGTTGAGTTGGGGGGTTGTGAAGGGATCTGACAGCTGACACCCTAGCAGGGCAGTCACCACTGAATGATCCCAGAATCTGCCCAGGGAAGCACTGGGAGGCCTGGGAAGTGGCGGGCTCTGACCCATGGTACACGGGCAAGTCAGACTTAGAGAGGCGTCAAGAGGGTGAAGGAAGGGAGACTAGGGTTGCTGCGGGGACTGAAGGTAGGAAGGTAAAGGTAGGGAGAATAGAGACTGAGGTCCAGGCTGACCCCTAGAGGACATGCCCCAGCACAGTTTGGGCCAAACCTTTCCCTAGGGTCTCAACGTCGGACAAACCAGTCCCCCAAACATGCCCTAGTTCTCCACACACCTCATACAGACACTAGTGCCCAGCCCTCACCTCGTCCATCCCCCAAGACAGAGACTCCCGAGCAGACACAGGTGCAGATGCAGGTGCAGGCCAGGAACCAGGTGCTCATGTCTCGCCTCAGAGCCTCACTCTTCAAGGTCCAGCCTGCAAGGGGCTGGGCTGAGGGCCCTGTGCGAGCCATCCCTCTCTGGAGGGGTGCTCCCCATGAATTTCACCCCAGCAGATTGCTCAGCGGGTCTCCATCTGCACTCACACTGTGTCCTGTGAAAGACGCTGGGCACCACTGCCCAGGCTTTACCGATAAGGAACTGAAGCTTAGAAAGGCCACTCGACCCAGCTGCAGACTCATGGCTGCAGGGTGTAAGATGCACCCTCAAACTTAGATCTTGGACTCTTGCTTAGCTAAGTCTCCACGTCTGCCAAGAAGGTTCCTCTCTAGGACGGGCATCCTCTGCCAGCCCATCCCCTGTCCCTGGGCCCAGGCCTCATCCTGCAGGGGAGTCAGGATTGGGGGAACCACTCACTACCAACAACCACCACAGGTGCATTTTCTACTTTAATTCTCACAACAGCTTTGTAAGGGAGAAGCACTGTCCCCGTTCACAGGCAAGGAGCTGACTCCCAAGGAGGGAAGGAGGGGAAATGACTTGCCCAGGGTCACACAGACAACTTCTATGCATTCTTTTTTTTTTTTTTTTTTTTAGACAGAGTCTCCCTCTGTTGCCCAGGCTGGAGTGCAGTAGTGTGATCTTGGTTAACTGCAACCTCCAACTCCTGGGTTCAAGCGATTCTCCTGCCTCAGCCTCCTGAGTAGTTGGGATTATAGGCTCCTGCTGCCACAGCCAGCTAATTTTTTTGTATTTTTAGTAGAGATAGCATTTCACTATGTTGGCCAGGCTGGTTTCGAACTCCTGACCTCAAGTGATCCACCCCCTCCTTGGCCTCCCAAAGTGCTGGGATTACAGGCATGAGCCACTGCTCCTGGCCTCTATGCATTCTCTCTCCCTTTTGTCTTCTTAAATAAAGACCCATCCCAGGATTTTACCCCAGGAAGGTGGACAAGAGTGGCAGCAAGGTATCCATGCAACAGATGGCACTTCCTTAACTCTGTTGCACCCCTGTTCCAAGGTGCCTCCAAAGGACAGCACCACCAGAAGGGCAAAGCCCCCCATGCTGGAGTATGAGCCTGAGTCCCAGGATCCCTGGAGGAGCCAGAGGTTGGCTGGAGATAAGGCGCTCGGTGTCAGGAAGCTCTTGTGTGTGGGAAAGCTGCTGACGCCCTATCACCCCGTTTGCAGCTCCACTGATACACCCATAACCCGTAGGCAGGAAGCAGGGCCAACCTGGTTACACAAGACTGATTAGTGATAAGGAGGAGAAAAAAACCAGACATGCACCCAGACTACAGCATACACGCAGACTACAGCACGCGCACCCTTAAGGAACCCACACACCCTCAACGGGCAGCAGGCACTACTCTAACCCCACTCCACCCTACTCCTGGCAGCCTATCCAGGTACCCACTGGACAGTCCCCTGTTAAGACCGATGATCAGGAATCCTCACTCTTCCCCAGAATGGAGCGTGCAGCCTGGCCCCAACAGCCGCAGCATGAAACGCCGTGGCAAGTTCTCTGCAGCAGGGTCTGTCCCTTCTTGCAGCAGCTACTGGAAAGGTGGGAATGGGGAAGACAGTCAGCCTGCTCTTGGGATATCTGAGGGCAGGGTTGGAGTCACCACCAGGACCTGGGGGAAGCACAGGCACAATGGCCACAGCTGAGAGCTGACCCAGGCCCCAGGATGGCCGACCGCTGCCCCAGCAGTGGAGAAACGCCCACGTCGGTGTAGAATCAGGCCAGGCCAGCCACAGGCTAACCCAGGAGCAGATGGCTTGAGAGCAGGGAGTGGGGCAGCTCCAAGCTCAGCAGGCCTCATTTCTAGACAGGGAGAGGGGATGGTAGGCCAGGACCCACATGTGACACCTGAGAGCTACAAAGGAGGAGGCCAGGACACCCCCTGGGGGAGCACTGGAGTGTTGGGTACAGCAACAAGGCAATATGGCCGTCTGAGGGGAAGGTCTCTGCTTTTCCTCTGCACTGAAAACTTACATCTGTACCTGGTAAGCTGAGCAGGGCAGGGTTACCACCCTCCTGCAGATGAGGAAACTGAGGCTCAGAGACCTGGGACCTGCCCAATACCTGGCTGCTGACACCTCTGTTCTTAGCACATTCCTACCAGCTTCTACACAAGCCAGTGAACTTCCTGAGGGCAGTGCCTGCGAGGCACCACTCAGCACATGCCCCAGCAGAAGGCACCACAGTGCTTTATAAAGGGGGTGGAGCTGCAGGCAGAGCTGCCTTCCCCCATCCTTGACCACAGGGCCAGGCAGTCAGGGCACGTGCACACACCCAGACCTGCAGGCTCCCTGCTCGTGGATGTCACTAGGAGGCAGAGGTTGCAATGAACTGAGATGGTGAGATGATGCCACTGCACTCAAGCCTGGGTGACGAGCAGGACCCCTGCCAAAAAACAAAGCCAGCAGGTCTGGGCTAACCTTTAATTTCTTCTTCTATGAAGTGAGATAATTGGACAAGACATCTTTTACAGGCAGCTCTAAAAGATTACAATGCTGGGATAATTGGGAAAGACCTACACTCTAAGAATCTGCCTTAGAGTGTAAGACCTACACTCTTTCCAGGGACAGCCCTGAGGTAGACAGGCTCTCTAGAAGATGGACAGGCTCTCTAGAAGGTGGACAGTCTCTCTAGAAGGTAGACAGGCTCTCTAGAAGGTAGACAGGCTCTCTAGAGGGTGGACAGGCTCTCTAGAAGGTGGACAGGCTCTCTAGAGGGTGGACAGGCTCTCTAGAAGGTGGACAGGCTCTCTAGAAGGTAGACAGGCTCTCTAGAAGGTGGACAGGCTCTCTAGAAGGTAGACAGGCTCTCTAGAAGGTGGCCAGAAGGGGCTGTTCTTCCTGGCCAATCAGAACTGATCACTGGTGTTTCTGGATTTGCCTCCCAAGATAAGATAACCCCAGAGCAAAGAACATTATAAAGCTTTACAGTAAATTATTCTACAACTAGCTCAATTTCTCATTATTCATCACCAACTTGAAACAAAATCCCAACCTTGGGAAAACACACATTCACTCACATACACACACACACACACACACACACACACACACACCCCTGCTGGGAGATGGGTGGCATAGGGTTTTTCTTAAACAACTAAACAGTAGCAGGCCATTTGTGTAGATTGCTGATATATTGAAAATATCATTCATCCAAGCTACGACTGACAAAAAGAATAATACATACCTGAGACATACTTGTACTATGTCCTAGGGCTCTTTACATATTCAGAGCTAAAAATAATACATGGATGGAAACTGTTGCTTAAGAATCTTTCCCAGTAATGTTAACATATTAAGCTACTAGGAAAGGAGAGAGATTTTCCTGTCTAGCAAGAAAATGATTGCGTGGTCTGATTTATACAGAATAAATGTGTCTTCAAATTTAGTCTCTACCTCTTCATGCTGCTCTTTGAAACACTGGATTCACATATGCAACATCATGTGCAAATAAGTGTTTTCTGAAAATCTCATTTTAATTGCTTTTTTAAAAGAGACAAGATCTATCTTGCCCAGGCCACAGTGTTATTCACAAACACGATCATGCACTGTAACCCCAAACTCCCAGGCTCAAGTAATCTTCCCACCTCAACCTCCCAAGTAACGTAGATAGGACTACAGGCACATGCTCCCAGCCTGCTACTTTCTTATTTAGCAACCTCTTAATCTTAAAATGAGAGCAGAATATCCCTCATCAACTGCTAGGAAATAAAGATGGTGTGTCATGTCATATTCAAATATAAAGAAGAAATATATTTCTATAAGGTTAATAATTAAAAAAATAACATATCTAGCTAAATAAAATAAATTATTTGCACACGGGTCCAGGATATTAAAACAACTAAAAAGCAGAGAGAATTATTCCAACTTTTTTTAGTGTTGCAAAATGATATTTTCAAAGCAACTTAACTTTTAAAGTTATCTTCAGTTACCAAAACTACTCAATTTTCCAAACTTCCAGATAAAGGTTACTCTTTAAAAGGCTATTTTTCCGGTTAATTCTCAGCACACACATGCTTTCTATTTGCACAATATTCTTAGGTGCTCTTGGCACACTAACACTGCAATGCCCTTATTCTGTGTGCTCTGAAGTCTTTAGAGGCTGCCCTTGTAGACAAAATATATGCAGATGCAATCTCATCCCTAGTGTTTACCCTCTTTCCTGAACCTTGGTCATGATGTGCTTCCTGTAAGCATTCTCTTTCTAAAACTTCACAAGTGGGTAATGAATTTCTAATCCTCAATGCATGGCCTGTAGTACTTCACAGGAAGTACATAAACAACTACTATCCTCAAATTTTCATCTGCAACATCATTTACAAAGACCATCACTGTTTTACAACCTAGTGGTCTCACTCAAAATAAGTTTGCTATGTCTAAGTACTCTAAACAAGTGATTTGGTGTGTAGACATTATATATAAATATCGATCTCCTCACTCCTTTATTCACTTGGACATAAATGTTCTGTTTACTGTTTGTAAGGCATACACAGAGATGAATAAAATACAGACTGTGCCCTTGGTATTATGGACTCAACACAGAAACAGACATATAAACAATTTTAACACGTGAATTTGAGTTGTGTTGTGTGCTCTTAAAGAATGCCTTCTGGCTGGGTGCAACGGCTCATGCCTGTATTCCCAGCATTTTGGGAGGCCAAGACGGGTGAATCGCTGGAGCTCAGGAGTCTGAGACCAACCTGGCAACATGGTGAAACCCCATCTGTACCAAAAATACAAGGCCAGGCATAGTGGCTCACACCTGTAATCCCAGCAATTTGGGAGGTCGAGGCAGGTGGATCACTGGAGATCAGGAGTTTGAGACCAGCCTGGCCAACATGATGAGACCCCGCCTCTACTAAAAATGCAAAAATTAGCCAGGTGTGGTGGTGCACACTTGTAATCCCAGCTACTCAGGAGGCTGAGGCACAATAACTGCTTGAACCCGGGAGACAGAGGTTGCAGCGAGCCAAGATTGCACCACTGCACTCCAGTCTGGGCAACAGAGTGAGACTCTCATTCCAAAAAAAAAAAAAAAAAAAAATTTAGCCAGGCATTCTTACAGGATCCTTGGGGTGTCACTTTTCTGGCTGGAAACCTTTGTGGCCAATGGCGCCTTTCCTTGAATTTTGCTGAGGCCCACTGGGCTCATTCTGCTCACTCGGCCTGGCAGGCTGCATTTGGCTCATGCTCCCAGCCTGGATCTCCTGCCTGCCAAGGGCGAGCCAACCATGGAGTGGTGAGAGGTGTTATGAGTGAGTGAGCGTGGGTTCTGGCCATTGCACACAGTCAAGTATGCTGCAGTGGGGCAGGCAGCTCCAGGTGCCAGCGCGGGTGCTGGCTGTCTATGAGGCTGTGGCTGGACCAAGTGCACTGCCAGCAGCTTCCACAGCTGGAACTAAGGAATGCAGTGGCACCACGAAGCTTGGAGACTTCAGGAACCATAGGGCCCCAAAGAGGGAGTCACAGCCCTGGCGTGGGGAGCTCCCAGGTCCGGGCACCCTGAAGGGCCACAGAATTTCTCTCCTTCTCTTTGCCTGCAATGTGGCAAGCAAGGGGCGTATTTAAGCCCTGTTTGTCTTACAGCTCTTTCAGTCCTGCTATTTGGGAGGTCCTGAGTTCTTGTCCTGTGTCCAGGAAGAATGTGGTATGTGGACAAGTGGAGGGCGTGCAAGGTGAAAAGGAGCTTCATTGAGTGACAGAATAGCTCAGAGGAGGCCCTGGAGTGGACAGTTCCTCTCTGCAGCTGGTTGTCCTAATGCCTGCACAGCTCTAGCTGAACCGGGAGCTTTTATGGGCCTCAGAGGGGAGGAAGTGCGCACTGATTTGTCCATGTGTGGCCATGGGTGGCCCGGAAAAAGGCACCACAAGTTCCCATTTTGATCCATGGGATTGGCAGCACACTCACCAGCCTTAAGGTCCTCCCTGGCCTGAAGGTGGGGCTTCACTGGGGACCCACCAACTTCTGCCCAGGAACCTGTTTGCCTCCTGCTGCTGTTCATGGCACCCATGCTATAGGTGCCAAGGTGTGCCTGCACGCCAGCACCAAGCTGCCCTCAGCTCCCCTTGGCTTCCCTCCAATGCTTATCGACACCCAAACTCTGTAGTGGGCCAAGGCTGGGGGCTGGCGTGTCAGCACTGCCCTGAGTGTGTGCACACCTGGCTGGGCTGTGAGAGTGTCTGCTCTGAGACTGGAGCAGGCACTGACAGCAGGGAGAAGCCAGGTAGTGGGAGCACACACATCCAAGCCTGTGAGGGAAAGGGGGCCTTCCTGGGGGCCCCCAAGAGTGCAGGGATGCCTGGGTCCACAGCCGTGGTTTGGGCAGCTGCAGCTGTGCCTGGGGGGACAAGGCTCTTGTCTGCTCCATGGACTGGGAGGCACAGGTCTGCAGATACGATATCTGGATATGATACCCTTTTAAATGTGTCCTAACTTTTATATGACACTGTTTAAAGTGACCCATATGGCATCATTAATGTCATTAATTAATTCATTGTAGAAAATATATGAACCAGTAACCTATGACTCGCTGACATTTTAATAAATCTCTAATATCCACAGCATTCCTTGGACACTAGGAAGAATAAGAAAATGAGAGCTTGTTAAAGTAACAGAAGCCAACCTCCCTCACACAGTCAATGATATCTGGACTCCTTGCTTCAATGTTCCTCTTATGCAAAGAAAGAAAAACACAAAGGAATAGAGTTGATGGTGTAGCCATTGTTAGGAAACTTAAAATTGTCAGTTTCAACCTTCACTGAACTTGAAAAATGTACTATTTTTAGTCACATTTCCTATGTCAGTCAAACTGGTTTCACCAGTTTTTCCTCTACTCAGAATCCAGGTAGGCCTAAATCAGAAATGCTTCTTGTCGACACATATAAGAGTCCCCGAACACCCATCCAAATGTTCACCATGAAGTATGAATAATGCCTGAGAAAGCAAAACCAAACAAATTGGTTCCCACTAACAGTAAATTTAAAGTAATTGAGAAACATGGTCAGTTTTGTACACAAAAATTAGGGTAAAATGTTGAATACAACAGGAGATAAAGTTAGAGCATTTTAAATAAACACAAGAAAAAACAAGCCAACTAAAGTAAAAATATATAAAAATGTAGTGAGATTGACCACGTGTTCACAATTGTTAAACTTGGATAAGAGGTACATGAAAATGAATCACTCCCTCTCTTCACCGACTTTTATGTTTGCAATTTTCCATAATTAAAAGATGGAGAAAATAAATCTGAAAAATCCAATTTGTGTTTCTTTAAGGTCTTCTTTAAACAACTAAATATAAAAATAGAAAATTGTTAGAATACATATAAAAACAAGATGCATTATACCATAAATTTTCTGGGGGAAATTAATACAGAACAGAATATTGAATTAATCTCAGGGGAAAAAAGACCACCAATTAACCATGAAAATGTTGTGACTCTTAATGGATAAGTTCAGTCATTTTTTTTTAGCTTTTAACCGGACAAAAAAAGAAAGAAATGTCATTCTGCAAAATTTGCGTGTTGGTTTAAACACATACACACACATACACACACACACACACACACACACACACACACACACACTTCATTCTGCAAAACAGGAGAGGGGATCCCTAGGAAATTTTAAATAAGTAGTTTTACATAAGTTATTTGCAAAAGTTGGTTTGTCTACAAAGCCAGTTATTTTTTTAAATTGCTGAGTGCTAGGAAACAGTAATTACTTCTAAAAAGCAAATACGGTACTAATTCAAAGACAAAAATGAAGGTTTTGTTTAAAATGATATTAAACCGAATCCAATTTAAATACCTTAATAAAATTATGTGTGGTAGAAAACTTCTGGAAATGGACTTAAACTAAAAATAATAAATAATAGTGAAATGTTAAAGAACAAACCAGGTCTAAAAATGAAGAGATTTTCTTAGTAAAATCACAATATTAGTGGGGTAGAGGAAACCCTAGTATACATGATCCACTATTTGGTCTAAAATACAATATAGATACTATCTCAGGGAACTTTGTTTTAAAATTGAATCTACTGGGATATAAACTCTGTATTAAGGGATGGCTGCTCAGTGAAGGACCTTAAGCTGAATAATGAGTGTAGCTTGTTAAAGAAAAGCAAAATAAAAGGCTTCTGGCTTTAGGAAAATAATAAAGTCATGAGACTACATGTTTATTCTCAGAAGTTCCCTTTTGTATGATAAAAGCACAAATTCCTTCCCTGTCCCCAGGGCTTTCTTTCTACTTTGTTCTTTAGCACCCCAGGACCCTGTCTTTAACCTAACATCCAATTCTAACCAGAATCTTCTATGTCCTGAATTAATCTTGTCAACTTCTTAAAGCTATTTTTGTTTAGACAGAAGATTTACTTAAAAGAAATTTTCTGACTAGGTATTAGTTAGTTTTCACACTGCTATAAAGAACTACCTGAGACTGGGTCATTTATAAAGAAAAGAGGTTTAATTGAGTCACAGCTCTGCATGGCTAGGGAGGCCTCAGGAAACTTACAATAATGGCATAAGGTGAAAGGGAAGCTAGGCACGTCTTACAGGGCAACAGGAGAGAGAGAGGAGGAATTTGCCACACACATTTAAATCATCAGATCTCATGAAAACTGCCTCACTATCATGAGAACAGCATGGGGGAACCACTCCCATGATCCAATCACCTTCCACCAGGTCCCTTCCTTGACACATGGGGATTACAATTTGAGATGAGATTTGGGTGAGGCACAGAGCCAAACTATATCACTCTATCCCTGGCCCCTCCAAAATCTCATGTCTTTCTCACGTTTCACAACACAATCATGCCTCCCCAACAGTCCCCCAAAGCCTTAACTCATTCCAACATTAACTCAAAAGTCCAAGTCCAAAGTCTCATCTGAGACAAGGAAAGTCCCTTCTGCCTATGAGCCTGTAAAATCAAAAGCAAGTCAGTTACTTCCAAAATACAATGGGGGTACAGGCATTGAATAAATGCTCCCATTCCAAATGAGAGTAATTGGCTAAAACAAAGGGGCTACAGGTCCCATACAAGTCCAAAACCCAACAGGGCAGTCATTAAATCTTTTCTAATTTTAATTTTTATTTTATTTGAAGTTCTGGGGTACATGTTCAGGATGTATAAGTTGGTTAATAAACATTTTAAAAGACATTCTGACAGGTGAGAGATGATATCTCATTGTGGTTTTAATTTTAATTTCTCTAGTGATTAGTAATGCTGAGCATTTTTTCATATAGCTGTTAGCTATTTGCATGTCTTCTTTTAAGAAATGGTTTTATCACTGGAATGCAAGGATGGTATGCCAATATGATATTTGCAACATATGCAAATCAATAAATGTGACATGCCACATTAACAGAATTTAAAGACAAAAACCATATAATGATCTCATTCGATGCCAAAAACCATTTGACAAAATTTAATATCCTTGTATGATAAAAACTCTTATCTTCCATTCTCTAAGCAAAGAGAGAGAGAGAGAGATGAAAAAAACCTTTCACCAGATTAGACATAGAAGGCGTGTACCTCTTTAAGGATACCCCTGAGTGCAATTTTTTTGAAGAAGAAAAAGAACTGTAACTCAACACAATAAAGTTCATTTATGAGAAGCCAACTGCTAACATCATACTTACAGCTTGTCCTGTAAGATCTGGAACAAGACAAGGATTTCTACTGTCTTAGTCTGTTTGTGTTGCTCAACAAAATGCCTGAGGCCAGGTCATTTATAAGGAAAAGAAGCTTATTTGGCTCACATTTCTGCAGGCTGTACAAGCATGGTGCCAAATCTAGGGCAGTCATTAAATCTTAAAGCTCCAAAGTAATATCCTTTGACTCCATGTCCCACATACAGGGCATGCTGATGCAAAAGGTGGGCTCTCAAGGCCTTGAGAAAAATCCATTTTCTGGGAAGAAACTCAAGCCAGGTTTAGAAATTTGCATATGATTTGGGCAGCTCTGCCCCTGTGGCTCTGCAGGGCACAGCCCCTGCAGCTGCTTTCATGGGCTGGTGCTGAGTGCCTGTGGCTTTTCCAGGTGCACGGTGCAAGCTGTCAATGGAACTACCATTCTGCAGTCTGGAGGATGGTGACCCTCTTCTCACAGCTCAACTAGGCAGTGCCCCTGTGGGGGCTCTGTGTGGGGGCTCCAACACCACATTTCATTTCTGCATTGCCTTAGTAGAGGTTCTCCATGAGGGCTCCACCCCTGCAGCAGACTTCTGCCTAGGCATTCACTTGTTTCCATACATCCTCTGAAATCTAAGCAGATGCTTCTAAAGCTCAGTTCTTGCCTTCTACACACCTGCAGGCCCAACACCACGTGTAAGCCATTAAAGCTTGGGGCTGGCACCCTCTCAAGCTATGGCCCAAGCTGCACCTTGGCCCCTTTTAGCCACAGCTGGAACTGGAGTGGCTGAGATGCAGGGCACCAATTCTCAAGGCTGCACAGAGCAGTGGGGTCCTGGACCTGGCCCACACAACCATTTTTTCCTCTTAGGCCTCCAGGCCTGTGATGGAAGGGGCTGCTGTGAAGATCTCTGACATGCCCTGGAGACATTTTCCCCATTGTCTTGGTGATTAATATTTGGCTTCTCTTAACTTAGGCAAATTAAGCTGCAGCCAGCTTGAATTTCTCCCCAGAAAATGGGTTTTTCTTTTCTATCACATGGTCAGGCTGCAAATTTTCCAAACTTTTATGCTCTGCTTCTCTTTTAAACATAAGTTACAATTTCAGATCATCTCTGTGTGAATGCATATGACTGTATGCTTTCAGAAAAAGCCAAGTCACATCTTGAATGCTTTGCTGCTTAGAAATTTCTTCTGCCAAACACCCTAAATCATCTCTCTCAAGTTCAAAGTTTCACAGATCTCTAGGAGAGGGGCACAATGCCACCATTGTCTTTGGTAAAGCATAGCAAGTGTGACCTTTAGACCAGTTCCCAATATGTTCCTCATCTTCATCTAAGACCACCTCAGCCTAGATGTTCATTGTCCATATCACTAGCATTTTGGTCAAAGCCATTCAACAAGTCTCTAGGAAATTCCAAACCTTCACATCTTCCTGTCTTCTTCTGAGGCCTTCAAACTGATCCAATTATCCAGTTCCAATGTCATGTCCTGTTACCCAATGTCTGCCTGTTACCCAGTTCCAATGTCACTTCCACATTTTCAGGTATCTTTATAGAAATGTCCCACTTCTCTCAATACCAATTTTCTGTATTAGTTTGTTTCACACTGCTATTAAGAACTACCTGAGACTGTCACTTAGAAAGAAAAGAGTTTTAATTGACTCACAGTTCTGCATGGCTGGGTAGGCCTCAGGAAATTTACAATCACAGTGGAAGGCAAAGGAGAAGCAAGGTGCATCCTACGTGGTGTCATGAGGGGGCAGGGGGATCATACAACCTTTAAACCATCAGATTTCGTGAGAAGTCACTCACTATCATGAGAACAGCATGGGGGAACCACGTCCATGATCAAATCACCGCCCACTAGGTCCCTCCCTTGACATGTGGGGATTACAATTTCAGATGAGATTTGGGTGGGGACAAGAGTCAAACCATATCAGACCAATTTCTTTGAAGATCCCTAATTTAAAAGAAAGAAAAGCATACTTAAGAAGCAACTAAATAATTCAGTGATTCTCACGAATAGGCCTAAAGGAAAACTTATGAGTATGCCTGAGTGTTTATAGATGGTAATATATTTTGCGCATTGAGGGTTGATACACATGTATGTATGTATGTACTCTTGATTTTAAGAATTAGTGTTAGTATTGTCTTCTTTCTAAATACCTTTCCTAAGTGATTTTATCCATTCTCTTTATTTAAACACCTACTGTAAACAAAAAATAAAATTCTAAGCTCCCCAACCATCTGAATGGCATTTCCTCTTTGCCAAGGGTATCCTAAAGTTAACCTGTAAAACGAGTTCAGGCTATGATGGGAAGGGAGAGTTGGACATGTCTTATTACCATTAACATCAACACAGACCTTAAGACTGTTAGGACAGACTCTTTAAGCCTGATAGGAAACATTTGCCATCTATTCTCTCTGAAGCCACAATGTATTTCAAAAAGTATAGGTTAAGGGTGTATCTTCTGGACCCTCCCGGCTGGGATGACTAGGTCTGAAGTGACTAATCCACTCCAGCATCCCAATCTCCCTAAGCCTTTGGATCCCTCCTCTACATTAAACCGAAGGGGATCAGGCATTTCTAGCTCATTCACAGTGTTTTTGTTTGTTTGTTTGTTTTTGAGATGGAGTCTCACTCTACCGCCCAGGCTGGAGAGCAGTGGTGCGATCTCAGCTCACTGCAAGCTCTGACTCCCGGGTTCATGCCATTCTCCTGCCTCAGCCTCCCGAGTAGCTGGGGCTACAGGTACCCACCATCACGCCCAGCTAATTTTTTGTATTTCTAGTAGACATGGGGTTTTACTGTGTTAGCCAGGATTGTCTCGATCTCCTGACCTTGTGATCTGCCTGCCTCAGCCTCCCAAAGGGCTGGGATTACTGGCGTGAGCCACCGCGCCTGGCCCCACAGTGGATCTTTTAATCCATATTTCAGCTAACCAAGCAAATAAATGATTAGAGCCTTTTTTAACTCCCTGAGCGGCAACATTAAATGCAGAATCCCTGCTTAGTGGGCCCAAATTAATAAATTCATCCCGACCCAACGCTATGTTCCTTCCACCATTATCCCACACTCTTAATATCCATTCCCATGCCTGTTCTCCAGATTTCTGCTTTTTGCATAAATTAGAAAACTCAAGCCGTTCTTTTGGAGTGTACCGCACCTCCTCATGGGTCACACTCTGAGCTTCACCTCTAGGTGCCCACCAGGACTTTGGTCTAGGGATAGGTCTAGAAGCAAACAAGGGTGTTGCAGGTGGGAAATGAGAAGAATCAACATTGTCTTGCCTGGCAACTGCCTCAGGGGAGGCCATCGTGGTTGCCTCAGGCACACAGGGTTTATCTCCTCATGCAAAGATGGAAAGGCTGATGGCAGTGTGGGCCGGGGAGGGGATGTTGCCACTACTGGGGATAGGGAAGTTGTTTCTTCTGGCAAAAGAGGCTCATCAGATTTCACCAGCTCAGTGTTCCTAGTTTCATCAGGGTCCTCCTGCATGTCCCTATTCCAAGTTGCAGGTTCCCATTCTTTTCCAATCAATACCCTCACCTTAACAGCAGACACCTGGCAAGGGTGTGTGTGCACCTTTCATTGCAGGTCAGCCACGCACATGATAAGAGCTTGTGTCTGATTTTCCACAATTTCAGCTCTTTCTCTACAGGAGATAAGACTCTTGCTCAGGGCAATCTTAGAAGATTTGAGGCTCAGTATCTACTTCTGAAGTTGGGAGTTAGAATCCCTGAGTTCATCATTTTCTTTCACTACTTTGGCCAGTGAACTTAGAAGCAACCAATCAACTTCATTACATTCCTTGGTTCTCCACATATGGTCAAAAGTATTATGTATAGTGTCACTAAACTCCTTGCCTTTCATGAGCAGTGTATCAGGAGTATCAGACGCATTTATTTCGCATAACTCTCTAAACAGTTCATGCCAAGGACTATCGCTGTTCTCCATACTATTAGAAGTAGGGTCCTTAGCATTTTTGGGTCTAATCATACTAACCAGCCAACTCCAGAAACCCCAAAACCAATGAAAGACCTCCATCTTTAATATTCTGTTCCTCTAGAACCACTCCTGATACCAAAATCTGTATTCGTCAGGGTTCTCTAGAGGGATAGAACTAATAGGATAGATGTAGATAGAAAGGGAAGTTTATCAAGGAGTACTGACTCACACGATCATAAGGTGAGGTCCCACTTGCAGGTAGGCCATCTGCAAGCTGAGGAGCAAGGACTCCAGTCGGAGTCTCACAGCTGAAGAAGTTGGAGTTTGATGTTCGAGGGCAGGAAGCATCCAGCATGGGAGAAATATGTAGGCCACAAGATTAAACCAGTCTAGTCTTTCCATGTTCTTCTCCCTGCTTTTATTGAGTCCTTGCTGGCAGCTGATTGAGGGTAGGTCTCGTTTTCCAGTCCACTGACTCAAATGTTAATCTCCTTTGGCAACACCCTCGCAGACACACTAAAGAACAATACCTTGCATCCTTCAATCCAATGAAGGTGACACTCAATATTAACCATCACAATAACTAATACGTTTTTATAGGGAATAAAGCACATATTTCCCATGATACCTGTAGAATTGTGTTTCTCTGGCCTGAATATAGGTTGGATTGGTTTAAATGTGAATTTTGTTTTACAATATTTATATGTCAATTGTAAATTCTGAGCACTTTCGAGTCAGAGCATACCTTTTTTTTTTTTTTTTTTTTGAGATGGAGTCTCGCTCTGTCACCTAGGCTGGAGTGCAGTGGTGTGATCTCAGCTAGCTGCAACCTCCACCTCCCAGGTTCAAGCGATTCTCCTGCCTGAGCCTGCCGAGCAGTTGGGATTACAGGTGCCCACCACCACATCTGGCTAATTTTTGAAATTTTAGTAGAGACGGGGTTTCACCACGTGGGCCAGGCTGGTTTCGAACTCCTGACCCCAGGTGATCCACCCGCCTCAGCTTCCCAAAGTGCTGGGATTACAGGTGTGAGCCATCGCGCCTGGCCAAATCATTACTTTTGAAGAAATAGTTAACAATGATTATTTCTTTTTGAATGACAATAAATTTTATTAATAAGTTAAACATATTTATATGTAATGTAAATTTTTTGTATCGGGTGCAGTGGTTCATGCCCGTTATCCTAGCACTTTGGGAGGCCAAGGTGTTAATATTGCTTGAGCAGGGGAGTTTGAGACCAGCCTGGGAAACATGGTGAAACCTCATATCTACAAAAAAATACGAAAATTAGCCTGGTGTTGTGGCATGTGCCTGTAGTCCCAGCTACTCGGGAGGCTAAACGGGGAGGTCAAGTCCGCAGTGAGCCATGACTGTGCCACTGCACTCCAACCTCAGTGACAGAGTGAGATCGCGTCTCAAAAAACTTTATTTAAAATCAAAGTAAACAAAATGTATATAAATTCCTCTCCAGTGATTTACTATTCAAGCTCTGGATGGATTATGTGATTTTCATGACAATGACATACCTGCTCTACTCTCAGACAAGCACAGTATAATAAATAGAAAAATTAGGAGTGCTATTGACTGAATTGTGTCTGTCCAAAATTCATATCTTGAAGCCCTAACTTCTTATGTGACTGTAACATGGCCTTCATAAGGATAGGGCCCTGATACAATGATACAATAGAATTAGTGTCCTTATAAGAGGCATCGAAAAACTCTCTTCCTCTATCTCTCTCTTCTCCCACCATGCAAGGACACCGTGAGAAGGCAGCTGTCCACTAGCCAGGAAGCGAGTGCTCACCAAAAACCAAACTGGCTAGAACGTTAATCTTGAACTTTCCAGCCTTCAGAACTGTGAGAAAATAAATTTCTGTTGTTTAACCTACCCCATCTATGAAATTTTGTTATGGTAGCCTGAATAGACTAATAAGAATAAATTAAAATTCCATATCCCTTGACTAAATTTTATTCATGTCTTATGCTTTGGCAATCTTTAGCCAGTACTGCTATCAATTAATTTTATTTTTCATTCCTCTATTCCAGTTTAACAAAGCCACTGCGGTAACAGAGGAGGGAAAGGAGAAGCAAGGAGTAGAGAGACTCTATATGCCAGGCAAGTGCCTCATTAAATGTTAACTTTTTATGATTCACAGTGCTTAAGTGTATTAGGAGACCAAAATGTGTTTTATGAAAATTGAAGGCAAATCTGAATGGAAGAGGGTTCCTTGATTTAGCCCCTGTCTTGTCCGACCAAGGTAAGGTTACAGAGATGAAGTTTTATAGTGTAAATGCAAAGAGTACTTGCCTTGGATTCAGATAAATTTGGGTATATGATCCTGGAAAACCCACTTAGACATTCTGAAATTTAATTTCTCCCATGTAAAACAGGAATAATAAAGTCTACCTTACAGAGCATCCTGAGAATCGAGATAGCATATAGTACTATGTTAAATGACTGCTGTTATTGCTAAAAGAAAGAAGTTAACTCAGAGGAACTATGGTGTTTGAACTGACTAGCAATAAAAGCTGAATGCAGTGCAAAATTTTGTCTCTAAGAACTACACACCTAAACTATGCACTACACATAGAAAGGCAGTATTTTAAAACCTAAGGCTATCTATGTAGTTTTGTTTTAATGGAAAAAATCACAAGAAGCCTGCACTCCATTTGTAGAAGAATTGTTACTTCCTCATATCTAGAGCTACCTGTGGCCTTAGACTTGGCTATTTCTATAGAGCTAAGCTCTTGTCCCAGCTTCTTGTTCTTAAACACGGAGCTCTGCCTCTGGGAGTTTTAAACCAAAAACACAATTTTAAGCTCCCCTTGCCACCCCAACTATTTGAATGGACTTCCTCCTAGGCCAGATCACTCTAAAATGCAACTGAAAGATTACTTCAGGCCGTGGAGGGAAGTGGGGGTCAGACATGCCTCATTATACCCTCCAGTGTTAACATCAACACAGACCTTAAGTCTGATAAGAAACATTTACAACCTAGTCTCTCTGAAGCCTGCTACCTGAAGGCTTAATCTGGATGATAAAACTTCGGTGGCTTATGCCTGTAATCCCAGCACTTTGGGAGGCTGAGGCAGGCGGATCACGAGGTCAGGAGATCGAGACCATCCTGGCTAACATGGTGAAACCCCATCTCTACTAAAAATATTAAAAAAATTCGCTGGGCACGGTAGTGGGCGCCTGTAGTCCCAGCTACTTGGTAGGCTGAGGCAGGAGAATGGCGTGAATCCAGGAGGCGGACCTTGCAGTGAACAGAGATCGTGCCACTGCACTCCAGCCTGGGCTACACAGCGAGACTCCGTCTCAAAAAAAACAAAAACAAAAAACAAAACAAAACAGAACAGAAAAAAAACTTTGGTCTCCACTACCTCTTATTGTAACATTCGTTTCTATTGATAGTAACTTTTTCGACCAATTACCTGCCACAAAATTTAAAAATCTACTTATAAACCGGAAGCACCCCCTCACCCCCAGCCCCACGCTCAACTCGTGCATCGTTCTGGACCAAACCAATGTATATCTTAAATGTATGTGGTAGATGTTTGACTCTTTTCATCCACAGAGTACAGAATTCTAACCCTGTGGTGTGATTCCTGAGATCTGTGTCTAGCTAGTGGTTTCAAGCCTTATTTACAAAGATGAATTTTGATTCTTTTCAATTAAAAAATCTTTCATTTGATTAATCTCATGTTAATGAATATAATGGAATTGTATTCCAATGACTAAAAATAAGTCAGCAGTGACAGAAAAGAAAACTTGTTCCCAGATCAGGACCTGTTTGTCAATAAAAAAGCGCCAAGAAGTTATTACTTCCTGCAATATATAAACGGAAATGTCCAAAAAGAGACAACTAAACCTTAGTTCAAAAAAAGGGAAATCATAAACCTCTGTACCCTGTTGATTGGCATTCATTATTCGACCTAAAAAATGTAAAATTATACAAAGTCACTTCTATGCACGTACAAGCGTGATACACATACTGTTACCGGATCCTTGAGGTGTCACTTTTCTGGCCGGTGGTGCCTTTGCCTGAGTTTTGATCGGGCACTCTGGGTTCGTTCCACACACTTGGCCTGGAAGGTTGCGCTTGGCTTATGCTACCAGCCTGGATCCCATGCCTGCCAGGGGTGAGCCAGGCATGGGGCAGCAAGAGGTGTGTGAGCGAGCACTGGGTCTGGCCACAGTGCAGTTAGACATGCCGGCTGCTGCAGTGGGATGGGCAGCTCCAGGTGCTGACACCAGCTCTCTGCAAGGCTGCAGCTGGACCAGGTGCACTGCAAGCACCTTCCACGGCTGGCACCAGGGAACACAGCGATGCCTGGAAGCTTAGAGATGCCAGAACCACAGGGACCTAAAGAGGGAGTCACAGCCCTGACTCAGGGAACTCCCAGGTCTGGGCTTCCCAAAGGGCCACGGCTATTCTTTCATTCTCTTTGCCCACAACATGGCAAGCAAGGGGCATGTTTCAGCCCTGTTTGTGTTACAGCTCTTTTAGCCCTGCCATTCAATGGGTTCTGAGTTCTTGTCCTGCGACAAGGCAGAATGAGGTACACAGTCAAGTGGAGGGTGAGCCAGCCAAAGAGAAGCTTTATTGAATGATACAGAACAGCTCAGAGGAGACCCACAGTGGGTAGCTCCTTTCCACAGCCAGGGTGTTCCAACGAGTGTTCAGCTCCTAGCAAGGAGGAGGCCCTGGAGTGAAAAGCTCCTTTCTGCAGGCAAGTCACCCTGTCATCTTTCCAGCTCTCAGCAGAGAAGTGGCCCTGGAGTGCGTAGCTTCTCTCTGCTGGCAGGTCATCCCAATGTCTGCTCAGTCCCAGCTGAGCCTGGAGCTTTTATGGGCCTCAGAGGGGAGGAAGTGCATGCCAATTGGTCCATGGGCAAATCCAGAAAAGGCACCTCAAGTTCCCACTCTGGTCTGCGGGACTGGCAGCCCAGTCACCAGCCTTTAGGACCCCCTTGGCCTGAAGGTGAGGCCTCACCAGGCCCCGCCCCCCCCCCGCCCTTCCACCCTGGAACCTGTTTGTTTCCTGCTGTTCCTGGTGCCCAGGCTGTAGGTGCCAAGGGGTGCCTGCAGGCCAGTGCCAAGCTTCCCTCAGCACCCCCTTGACTTCCCTCCTATGCTGATCAGCACCCAAAGTCCAGAGGGATCCAAGGCGACAGGGGGCTGGTATGTTAGCACCGCCCTGAGTGTGTGCACACCCGGCTGGGCTGTGAAAGCACCCAGGCTTGGCCCCGACTTTGCTCCAAGATTGGAGCAGGGGCTGACAGCAGGAAGAAGTCAGGCAGTGCAAGCAGGCGCTCTGGAGCCTGTGAGGGGAGAAGGGGGGCCTTCCTGGGTCCCCGAGAGTGCAGACATGCCTGGGTCCACAGCCACGGTTTGGGTGGCTGCAGCTGCACCTGGAAGGGCGGGGCTCCTGGAAGGGCGGGGCTCCTGCCTGCCTCTGCCTCCCTCCTACCACCAAGAGCACAGGGAGGCCCGGCCCACAGTCACGACTTGGGCAGCTGCAGCTGCACCTGGGAGGGCGGGGCTCCTGCCTGCCTCTGCCTCCCTCCTACCACCAAGAGCACAGGGAGGTCCGGCCCGCAGCCACGACTTGGGCAGCTGCAGCTGCACCTGGAAGGGCGGGGCTCCTGCCTGCTCTGTGGAGGGGGAGACCTGGGTCCACAGCTGTGACTAGAGTGGCTGCAGCAGCACCCAGGGAGCTCCTGCCCCAACTTGGAAGGGGTAGGGCTCCCTCTTGTTCCTGGCTCCTGCCGCTGCCATCAATACTACTGCCACATGCTACTCCAGATGTCAAAGGCACATATTAAACCACCACCGAGTAACAGCATCTACCAAAAACAATCAAAATCTTCAAATAAAATATTTAGTGAACACATAAATAGATACTCAGATACTCTATTTTGTCAGACTTTGCCTAGAATAACTTAGAAAACTTCTGATATTCACTTGTAAAGTTTAAGAATGATTGATACATACATTAATATGGAAGAGACAATTATTAACCTTAAATACACAAGGACAGGACAGAAATAGAATTTTACATCAGAAGATATTATTTCTCATTACTATGAGATACTATTACCTGAGTTTCAAAAGTAGTGATGAAAGGAGTCAAGCTCTATAAAAATATTTAAAGAAGTTTATTCTGAGCCAAATAGGAGCGGCCAAGGCTCAAGGCCCCGTCTCGTGTGGTAATGAGAACATTTTCCCAAGGTCATTGAGCTATAGCTTGGTTTTATATGTTTTATGGAGACATAAGACATCAATCAATGCATTTGCAGTATGCATTGGTTCCATGTAGAAAGGAGGGACAACTTGAACGGTTGGGACTTACAGGTCATAGGCAGATTCAAAGATTTTCTGATTGGCAAATGGTTGAAAGAGTTGTTATCTAAAGGCTTGGAATCAATAGAAAGGAGTGGCTGCGTCAAGATAAGGGGTTGTGGAGATCAGGATTCTTATTATGTAGACAAAGCCACCCTTAGAGACAATCGATAGCGAGTGTTTCTTATTCAGACCCTCCAAAGGGTGCTAGACTCTCAGTTTCTCTTCAGGATTGGGAGGGCCTGGAACAGCGAAAGATCTACTTACATTATTAGAGGTTCTTTACAGGTAGAATTTCCCTCCACAAGAATGGCTTTGCAGGCCATTTCAAAATATTACAAATAAACATATTTGGGGGTAAAATATTTTGATTTCCTTCTTTATCTGTCATGTGAAATTATGCCAGGGTCAGATTGGAAAGTAAGCCATGTTATATAGGGTTAAATAAAACCCATCTGAAGAGATTTTATGGTTTGTAGCCATGACTCCCTATGTTACCAGAAAGGGGACCCAATCTAGAACCCAAGAGAGGGTCCTTGGACCTCACGGATTAAAGAATTATAGCCGAGTCCATAAAGTGAAAGCAATTTCATTAAGAAAGCAAAGTAATAAAGGAACGGCTACTCTATAGACAGAGCAGCAACATGGGCTGAATGGCTAAATATACTTATAGTTATTTCTTGATTATGTGCTGAACAAGGCGTGAATTCATCATGAGGTTTCCAGGAAAGGGGTGGGCAATTCCTGGAATTAAGGGTTCTTTCCCTTTTTAGACCACATAGGGTAACTTCCTGATGTTGCCAAGGCATTTGTAAACTGTTGTGGTGCTGGTGGACGTGTCTTTTAACATGCCAGTGCATTATCATTAGTGTATGATGAGCAGCGAGGACAACCAGAGGTCACTTTTGTAGCCGTCTTGGTTTTGGCGAATTTTGGCTGGCTTCTTTATTTACCACAACCTGTTTTATCAGCAAGGTCTTTGTGACCTGAATCTTGTGCTGACCTCCTATCTCATCCTTTGACTAAGAACACCTAACCTCCTGGGAAGGTAGCCCAGTAGGTCTCAGCCTTATTTTACCCAGCCCCTGTTGAAGATGGAATTGCTCTTGTTCAAATGCCTCTGACACCTAGGCCCCTTAGATAGGAATTTGGACAAGAGAAGAAAAAGGTCAGTTTCATCCTCAATAGCAATAAATAATACTACATAAGTAAATATATGTGATAGTAATTAAATTTAACCTCCCATAGTAAGCCTTTCATGTGGCTTCTTAAGTTTTTTTTATTTTGTATACATATACATGAAACTTAACATCTGTGACTATTATGAAGACAAAGCATATGTCTAGGAAATTAATGTACTTAATGGGGAAATGAAGAATATTGTGTAATTTAACATAACGACCCAGGAGCCTAGAAGGAAAAATTATGTTCTTTAATCCTCAGGGTTTTCTTTGTTGGAAAATAAAAAAGCAAAGCAATAGACAATGGAACCCATCCACCCCCAAAAGAAGGAAGAAGAAGAAGAAAAAAAAAAGAAAGAAACAAAGCAAAGCTCAGGAGGAATGGAATACACAGATCTATACACCAGGCAGAGAAGCAGTTGTTCTTGATCCCTTTCTGATGAGATAAAGACTTCTAAAATCTTGGGATGCAGCTGAGATTGCTATTTAAGTGGACAGAGCATTATAGGCCAGCTCCTTTGTGAGCTTCATACCCTACATGTGTGCTACTTTCAGCATGACCTGCCTCTACTTTTTGCAGGGGGACTACAATGTGGGTTTGGATGGCAAAAGCTCCTGGAGTGATTCCCTAGGGGTCAAAGCTTCCTTCTGGGAGGAGTGGCTAAAACAAGTAAATTTTCCTTTCACAATCTTAACCCTTCCAAGCTTTCCCTCTCAAAGTTTCTTCTCCCTACTGCGTGCCCCCCGCCACAAAGTCTGTATGTAGATTGAGCAGTTCAGTTGATTTTTGTGAAAGAGAGAGGTTAACTTGGTGACATCGTTTGAACCACACATCAATTAAGGGAATGAGAACGAAACCTAAGTTTTGACATTGTAAAGTTTTCTTTCAAGCATAGCAACTCTGCCTCATTTGTGTTTCAGACAATGTTGTTCCATCATCAATGTATTTGAAATATTGAAATGACAAAACTCAATGATTTTATGTCTCTTTGCAATGTAAGACATAATCTCTTTATAGGACGAAAGCTGAATATAATTGGTAGACTATTAAATGAGAATTGTATGTTTCATCAAACTGCTGAGCTAATAAATTCTAAAAGTCATCTATTAACTAAACAATAGGAGATTAGCTGGACACACTACTTTTTATTTATAATAAGTAATTTTTATTTATAATATTTTTATTTATAATAAATGTCAGCAATGTTAAGATATATCACATTTATTATTTTACTACCATGATGATTACAGCACTTTTAATCTCAAACTAAGTCTTACAGAATGTATGTTCCTTTGAAGAAAAATTTCTATTTTTTTTTTGTTTTGAGACACAGTCTCACTCTGTTACCCAGGCTGGAGTGTAGTGGCATGATCTCGGCTCACTGCAACCTCCGCTTCCTGGGTTCAAGTGATTCTCCTGCCTCAGCCTCCCGAGTAGCTGGGATTACAGGCATGCACCACCATGCCTGGATAATTTTTGTATTTTTAGTAGAAATAGGTTTTCACCATGTTGGCCAGGCTGGTCTTGAACTCCTGACCTCAAGTGATCTGCCCGCCTTGGCCTCCCAAAGTACTGGGATTACAGGTGTGAACCACTGCTCCCGCCCTAAGAATTTCGTATAATCATGCTTAGGCATAAGAATAACTCTTTTTTTAAAAAAACAAAAAACAAAAAACAACGGAGTTTCATGCTTGTTGCCCAGGCTAGAGTGCAACGGCACAATTTCGGCTCACTGCAACCTCCACCTCCTGGGTTCAAGCCATTCTCCTGCCTCAGCCTCCCGAGTAGCTGAGATTACAAGCACCCGCCTCCATGCCCGGCTAATTTTTGTATCTTTAGTAGACAGGGTTTCACCATGCTGGCCAGGCTGGTCTTGAACTCCTGACCTCAGATGAACTCCATCCGCCTCGCCATCCCAAAGTGCTAGGATTACAGGTGTGAGCCACTGTGCCCAGCCAAGAAAAACTTCTAAAGTTCTTAAATTTCCATCAAATTATTAAACTACAGAATGATTAAATGTAAAATTTGTAACATTGTAATAACTGCTTAGATTATTCTTTGTTGTAGAAGATTTAGCATCTTATAAAAATTGGGTCTGAGAAGAACAGATGTTTCTTTAACCAGCCAGATGCAAATAACTATAAGGCCACACTACCCAACATGGTAGCCAGTGGTCACTAATATTTAAATTAAATGAAATAAAAAATACAGTCCATCAATTGCACTGGCCTTTCTGCCAAGTGCTGAACAGATCTGTATGACCAGTGGCTACTGTATTGGATGGTGCAGATACAGGACATTCCCGTTATCTCAGAGAGTTCTCCTGGGCATTGCTGCTCTAAGGAGAAGGCACCAGAAAAAGAGGAGCTAGGTGGATGAGGAGTGTAGGGGAAGGGAGATGAGCTCAGTGGCCATATTTCCTCAATGTGCAGCCATCCTTTCCTTTTCCCAGTGTCATCTCGTAATGGGAAGAAATAGATGAAAGGTTTTCTCTCTTACAGAGTTTGAAATGCTGCTTGTCCTGTGATGAGCTCAATCAGGACTGATTGAATGATGATGCCTCACTTTCACATACAGATGTAGCCCAACAAGATTCCAATAGATGTGGTGTTACAAATCCTTTAGTATGAAGGCATAGTGAATCCAGTTATTACAGAAAAATATGCCCTTGGCAAATTGGGAGAAGGTTAATTTTACATTCTAGCATTCTCTTAAGTATCAATGGACTCTTCTAACAAAAGGCATCAATAAGCTTTATGAATCTTCAAAGTTGTCTGTATGACAGATAAATTGTCAGTCTTTAAATGGCTACTGTGCAGGTCCAGATAGGCACAACAATTTTGGAAAAGAGAGAAAACATGTTTCAGTTGAAAACTTTAGGACCCAAAGGAGGCAAATGTGTTTGGGCTAAAACATAGCCAGAACAGAGAGAAAAATCAGCTATTTTAGAGTAACTGATATATAATATTCAATGATTTTTATGGCAAATGATTTTGACATGGGCCAGAAAACCGCACTTACTTTCCTGATGCTGCCAGATAAACCATGGGTGTGTATTTTTGTTACAAAATTACTCCTTGAATTAAAAAGTATGCAAATACATTTATTTATTTATTTATTTTTATTTTTTATTTTTGAGACAGAGTCCCGCTCTATCGCCCAGGCTTGAGTGCAGTGGCACGACCTCGGCTCACTGCAACCTCCGCCTCTCGGGTTCAAGCAATTCTGCCGCCTCAGCCTCCTGAGTAGCTGGGATTACAGGTACCCACCATCACACATGGCTAATTTTTGTATTTTTAGTAGAGACGGAGTTTCACCATGTTGGCCAAGCTGACCTCGAACTCGTGACCTCAAGTGATCCGCCCACCTCAATGTTTCAAAGTGCTGGGATTACAGGCATGAGTCACTGTGCTCAGCCAAAATACATTTATTTAAATAAAAATTCCGTAAGTACTTGGGTTTGTGCACATGTCTGTGTGTATAGGTATATGTATTAGTCCATCCTCACACTACTATAAAGAACTACCTGAGATTGGGTAATTTATGAAGAAAAGAGGTTTAATTGGCTCACAGTTCTGTAGGCTGTACAGGAAACATGGATGGGTGGTCTCAGGAAACTGACAATCACGCCGGAGGGTGAAGGGGATGCAAGCATGTCTTACCATGGTGGAACAGGAGGAAGAGAGCAAAGGAGGAAGTGCTATACACTTTTAAACAACCAGATCTTGTGAGAACTCACTATCAAGAGAACAGCAAGGGGGAAGTCCACCGCCATGATCCAATCACCTCCCACCAAGTCCCTCCCCCAACACTGGCGATTACAATTAGACACTAGATTCGGGTGAGGACACAGAACCAAACCGTATCAGTATATTTTTTTATATGTAACTGAAAGTGTTGTGGGAAGGCAAATATAAGTGATGTCTGTGGTTATTGATACCGACTGGTTATATCTCTAGATATACTGTAGTTATTGCTCTAATTGGTGTTACTTGATCTCTCAAAAATATGCAACAGCACCGAAAGTGTTCAGGGCCACAGTTGCCAACTGGCTGTAAGAAGTGAAAGAACAAAACAGGTGCAAATAACAATAAATAAATAAAACCTCATTTTCTTGGTGAAGAAGAAAAAGGAAAATAAAGAAGAAATTAGATTTCCAACCCTTTCATTCTTAATAAAAATAAAAGATTTGATCCTTTCAATCTCCACTGGAAATCAACACAAGTTACTAATTTTCTTGGTTAAATTGATATAATCAGTACATATATATTAAGCATATATATGTAGACATGTGTATATACATATGTGTGTCCCTCTTAGCTTAAGAAATCTACCTCGCACTCCTCATCTCCATATAGTCATGGAAAAAATCAGCATCTGGCAACAGGGGACACTTACCAGAGTCATTTTTTTTTTTTTTTTTTTTTTTGAGATAGAGTCTTGCTCTGTCGCCCAGGCTGGACTGCAGTGGTGCAGTCTTGGCCCACTGCAACCTCTGCTCCCTGGGTTCAAGCAATTCTTGTGCCTCAGCCTCCTGAATAGCTGGGACTACAAGTGTGGGCCACTACGCCTGGCTAATTTTTGTATTTTTAGTAGAGACTAGGCTTCACCATGTTGCCCACACTGGTCTTGAACTCCTGGGCTCAAGTGCTCTGCCTGCCTTGGCCTCCCAAAGTGCTGGGATTACAGGCGTGAGCCACCGCGCCCGGCCTAGCGTAATCGTGCTGGGATTACAGGCGTGAGCCACTGCACCCAGCCTAGCATAATTCTTTACTAGAATTGGTACTTTAGGAATTTCAGCTATGCCATTTAATTTTCCTCAATAGTTTTGGACTAACTAATTTGGTAAAAGTTTATTGCCTTGAAAGAGGTTGAATTCAAAATTATTTTCTTCTTCTAGGACATGTTTACAGATCTCTAGATACACATGCCTCAGCTCAAAGAGAAAGCTGTAACTGCTGTTATGTGTCACATACCAAGTTGGAATCCATTTGCCACAGTCTAGGTGACCTCAGCTCACACCTGAGTGGAACTGACTCCTCAGCATTCTCATGATCTGCAGTGTAGGAATTCCCACTCCAGGAAGTGAACAGAAACCACACACTCATCCCTAACCACGTGCCTAAACATAAACTGGTCGCAGATTTGTTCAGGCAATAAAGTCATTTCTACTGGAGAAAATCAGGGAAGGCCACCTGCTGAACAAAGGCTTCAGGCAAATATTTTGCTCATGAGAAATACATCGAGCACAAAACTCTTCATCAGCTGGTTTTACTGATTCTTAACTTCCTGATGTAGACAATCTGAATAAACTAATTGGTCTAATTTTCCTGGAGATATGGTAGCAACAGAATAATGTAAAGGCAGGTTGACATGTCCTTATGTCTTTTCCTTCTTTGGAAAGATAGATAAAGATAATAAAGGAATGGTTGAAAGGAAATTAGAACAGAAATAAGAAAGGCATGCAGGCAAAACTGCTATGAGTTCCGTTCTTGTATTGCTGCATGTTTTGGTAAGGAACGCCTGGCCCCATAGGTTCCCAGGGTGTTGGGAAGGGTGTACTACCAGTTCCATAAATGTGGTCATCTTGACACCTAAGAAACTATTTTGGCCACATGGCTTGCTGGGGGTATATTCATTCAAAATCAAAACAGTTAATTCACTCTCCCAGCAACCACACAACAGGCTGCAGCGGCTTTGGGGTGTTATTCCCTCCAGCCAGGCATAAAAATATAGGCTGCATATACAAGGAGGTTTGTTTAACTGTTACAATTGAAGCCCATGTAACCAGGACCCACGGGGAATCAAAAGAGAGAATTCATCACCGTATGTGGAGATAGTGTCTTCTGGGAAAGAAAACTCCTAATGAATTATCAGTATAGGCAGAGACTTTATCCCTTAGTCTTTGATTAACCCATTATTCAATCTATTTCCAGGTTTCAGCAGATCTCCTAAACTCTCCTTTAACAGCCATTCTTTCAAATGAAGGACTCAAACTTTACACATGTACATCAACATACAAGACGAAGGCATACATGACAACCACAGTTCTCCTAAGAGACATTTTTGGACAAGAATAAATTTTAGCAGAGTAAGCCTGTCTGATTCTCCTTTGGCATACATTGCGTCCTCGTAGGAAATGCCTGCCAGGAGCAGGAGTTGTAGAGATCCCTGCACCTGTATTCAGGATCCTTGCGTGGGAAAAGAGGCCTCAGTGGCCCTATGTGGAATCTATGCTGTGCACACTGCTAAAAGGGTTGCAATCCACCAACATCTTACAAAATGAAGGAAGAAAATCCTCCGACAAGGATGGTGAAGTAGCAGACAACTCACAGTCAAAAATACCTCTTAAATGGCAGCAACTTCTTTTATCTCTTCTGATAAAGACATTTAAAAATTCTTTTTTCGAATAGAGTCAGTTCAAATATGGGAATGTATTTCTATTTTGTGTCATTACATTGTCAAGCATTTAGAAAATAGTCCCTGGAGGCTGGGCACAGTGGCTCATGCCTGTAATCCCAGCACTTTGGGAGGCTGAGGTGGGTGGATCACCTGAGGTCAGGAGTTTGAGACCAGCCTGGCCAAGATGGTGAAACCCCGTTTCTACTAAAAATACAAAAATTACTGGGCGTGGTGGCGGGTGCCTGTAATCCCAGCTAGTTGGCGAGCTGATGCAGGAGAATCACTTGAACCTGGGAGGCAGAGGTTGCAAGGAGCCACGATCGTACCACTGCACTCTAGCCTGGGCGACAGAGCGACACTCGTCTCAAAAAAAAAAAAAATTCCCTGGAAAAACAAAGATATTTATGTATTTCATAGCCAGTGGAGTGTATAGACCCTTTGTCCATAGAGATGGTGTAAGTAACAATGTTTCTTGACTGAAGCAGGGTTATGTGTGTGCATATAGGGATGGGCACTTTACCTTTCTTTTTTCCTTCCTTCCTTCCTTCCCTTTCCTTTCCTTTCTTCTTTCTTTCTTTCTTTCTTTTTTTTTTTTTTTGATGAAGTCTTTTTCTGTCGCCCGGGCTGGAGTGCAGTGGCACGATCTCAGCTCACTGCAAACTCCGCCTCCAGGGTTCAAGTAATTCTCCTGCCTCAGCCTCCCCAATAGCTGGGACTTCAAGTGTGTGCCACCACACCCGGCTAATTTTTGTGCTTGTAGTAAAGATGGGGTTTCACCATGTTGGCCAGGCTGGTCTCAAACTCCTGACCTCAGGTGATCTGCCCACCTTGGCCTCCCAAAGTGCTGGGATTACAGGTGTGAGCCTCCACGCCCAGCCTACCTTTCTGAAAGAGCAAAACATGCAGCATAAGCTTTGTATTAGTTTTAAGACTTCATCAGGCATGCTATTCCAATCTGTTTCTAAGTATTTTAAGTTCAGTTATTATAATTATTATTTTATAGAAAAATGTTATTTTATTTTTAAATCTGTAATTATCTTTGTACATTGAAATTTAAAATGTTCGTAATGTTTTATGCTGATACCATTTTATTTGAGTGCTAAGACCAATTACTATTATTTTCCATCAAAAATGATTGAAATTCTGCATTCTCCAAGAAAAGAAACGAGTGGTAAAATATTACAGTAAAGTTAGTGATCACATAAAATAAGGATTATACTCTTTTAAAGTACTTTTTTTTTTTTTTTGAGATGGAGTCTCGCTCTGTCGCCCAGGCTGGAGTGCAGTGACCCCGTCTCCGCTCACTGCAACCTCCACCTCCCGGGTTCACGCCATTCTCCTGCCTCAGCCTCCCGAGGAGCTGGGACTACGGGCACCTGCCACCACGCCCGGCTAATTTTTCGTATTTTTAGTAGAGACGGGGTTTCACCGTGTTAACCAGGATGGTCTCGATCTCCTGACGTGGTGATCCGCCCGCCTCGGCCTCCCAAAGTGCTGGGGTTACAGGCGTGAGCCACCGCGCCCGGCCTCTTTTAAAGTAATTTTTAAATGATTCCTAAAAACCTATATATTCTTTTAAACTTTGGAACTAATTTTAAAAATTACCAATACATTGCCTTGTTACATACAAATTAACAGACATTTACCTCATCTCTGAGTGTGGATGTTATTTTTGTGAGATACCTTCAAGTCCAAAAGATGAAAAGGTGGCTTGTGCCATGGAGAAAGCTCCTCCTTGCCTGGAGCTGGGAGAGACCACATGTTCTCAGTGGAACACCCCTCCTCAGTGGTGATGTGGTGATCATTCTGATTGATGCTGAGAATCCAGGTCTGAATGGGAGGGCTGGAAGCAGGGTGGCCAAAGAAAATAACAGTGTCTGTGGACCCAGATACTGGTCTCATTCTTGGGCAGTTTCTGCCAGGTTTTTACATCTGTAGCATTCAACAAGGCCTTTAACAAGCTGCAGGGTCATAAAAGTGGAGTTACATGTGTGAGCAGTGTCTCTGTTACAATGAGGAAAAGATAAACGGGAAGATAGTCTGTAAGAAAAAATATTTTTCTCCTTACTCTCATTTTACATGAAGGATGCAGTGGAATTCTGTTTCTTGTAAATGTGCTAATTTTCTTACTCAGGCTTTAATGGGAAACCTGGTGAGTGAGCAGGGCCCTCTGCAGAGAGCAGGCTTCCCTGGGGGAGGTGCCCAGAATGGGCTCTGGTCCCCCTGCCTACCTTGGGCACAGCAGGCAGTCACGGGCACCATGAGTTTTGCCTCTGCCACGCCCTCTCCACCCCCCTGCCCACCCTGCGGGGAGCCCCTCACAAAACCACTCCTTCTGGGCATTTCACATCTTGTCCTAAAGGAAAACAGCTGGAAGAGAAGGAGAGAGCAAAAAAAGAAAAGAAATCATCTATTAAATATCAGTCTTGTTTTGACAAAATCATAAATTAATTGTATGCATATTCTAAACATTGATCTTCCAGAAATTTTATTACCTGTGTAAACTTTTAGAATTTAACTATGTTACCTAAATTCTGAAAAGGCTTTCTGCTTTCCTATCAGTTTCTCTCAAAGATCACAGTGGACTTCGTGGATTGACACATGAAAGGTAGCAATTGTTGTTAATAATAATAAAGTCATAGCTAATATACAGTTGAGAACTGAAAGGGCAAATAATTGTATAGAGTCTCATTCCCAAACCTTTTATTCATGGTTAAAGTCCTGGCTAGTGTCCACAAAAACCTACTTTTCCAGCTCCCTCCACCCTCTCAAGCTGTTGCCCTCACTGTTCAGTAACTAAATAGCCCTGAACTGTTGACGTTGTTATCCTGAAATCCATAAATACAAGACCATTCAGTAAAAACTCCAGCAAACAGAAAAATCAGAAATACAAGTGGCTTGCTAATTTAAGAATTTACTTCAACCACTGGAAAGTAATAAGTTAAAATGAATAAATTAAAAACACAAGATGTTTTCTTTTTTTCGTATCTGCAGCCATGTCTGGGGACAAACAAATTCCTTTGAAAGATAACAATGTTATTGATTTGGAATGTCACTGCAAAGAAATGAAAGAGTAATTCCAAAGGAAGGTAATCTCTAAAAGTTGAGAGGAAATATCTTTTTATCTTGATTCCAATGATGAAATACAACATTATTTCATTATTTTTGTTACATTTTATCCTACTTGAATTTAACATTAAGTTTGGAATAAAGTCTCTAAGACAGGATATTACAAGTAACAGAACACAAGAAAAATCCTTCATTAAGGGTCACTACCAATCTGTTAAAACATGAGTGGGTGTGGGTACACTTCCAGCCCTTCTGTCAACGCTTGCAAGAAGATAGAATAAATAGCATTCCACCCTCTATACTGACACATCTCCTGAAAACTACTGTTATCATTTAGGTCAATTTAACACACTGAAATACATCTTTAATGGTGATCACATTCTACTGTAGAATTTGAATTAAGGCCCTGTCTGTGAGTTTAGAGTCACTAAAGCAGCAGACAAATATTGGTAAGTACTTATGTTACTGGGCACATGCATTTTATTTACATGTTGGTTTTCACTGAGACATAGGAGGGGTTTACCAACTATATTAAGAACTTTAATCAGAAATCCAGAAGGAAAAACACCAGGGTGAGAGCATCTGGAAAACTCTACCCTCAGGCATGTTTTCAATTCAGCAGAAATGTGGCCCCTGTATCTTATAAACACTTTAGTGGCTTCTTTGCATGAGGGAAAAGGTAACTAGGAGATGATGTTTATTAAGGTAAGAAACATTGAACACTGAAGACTCCTTCCTCAATTCAACAAGGCAAAGAACTGGTAATTCCTACTGAGCATTAATTTTATAGAGGAGTAAAACCAGGATAGGAAAAAAATCACTTATGATGTGTTTTTAATTAATTTAAACAATGTAAAAAATTATACTTTTGCACATGTTGCTGTGTCTGGGATTTTGACATTTGAAAACTCAAGTGTCAAGTACGCTACCAGTTAATCTTTGATTTCATGTTAAGAGTTTGCTTTTGTTTTAATTACATAGTGACATGGAATTTGATGGAAAGGAATCCCAGTTTTTTCTATGTTCCATAAACGTGGTTCCAACTAACGAGCTTAGTTTAGTAAGAAATGAAATTTTAAATGTTATTAGTAAAATCTAATTCTATTTATTATATTTTCAAATGAACACATTTATTGAGAGCATTTATGGGTACCCAAAACCCCTAAATGCTAGTGCTTATTTGGTACTTAGCATGTGTCAGGCACATGCACATACATACATACATCATCATATCATGCAGAAGATGTCCCTTACCCCAGGACAAACAATAAAGTGGCATGGCGGGTGCTGAATGGTCATTTGAATTACAATCATCTAGGTGAGTGAGTGAAAGTCAAACTCGGATATTATATTTGAAAGTCTATTTGAGCACACACTGGCATTCTCACCGCCTCTAGGATTCTCCTATGTGCTTGATAATATTCAGGACTGTAAAAAATAAAGCCCATTTTCCCCCTAAATATTTTAAAATAAATTTATGAATATAAAATACACATACACATTTTATATCAGTGTTGATATCTAAATGTTATATTAACATTTAGATATAATGTTTCTATGAAGGAACAATACATATTATTCAATATATATGTTGTCACTACTGTCTTAATTGTACTGTAGTGGACAGAAAGAGGTATTACTTTTCATTCTTCAAATTAATAGAGAGGAACAGATACAAGCATAAAACAAAATTGTATATTAAAAGTAATTGTAAAATAAATGGCATGTTACTTTCACTTGACTAAGGTTCTATCTGCAAAATAATAAAATCTTGACTTAATGGATCAGGAACAGAGTTCTGAGTCCCCTTTACCAAGATGTTTCTCTATAACCTAGTCTCCCTGTTGACAAAGACCATTCTCAAACATGAAACTTTTTCTCAAATTTATTTTCTGAAGTATGGAAAGTAATCTGTAATCGAACACCAACATGGCTTCACCTCACTCCAACAGTGAAATTGCTTATATGAAGGTCACCAATAAGCTCAAAAGGTCCCTCTGCCTTCATTATTTGATCTCTCAGCAAGTTTTTTTTTTCCTTAGGCAGCTATTAAGATAAGTTTATTAATTACACTATGTATGGGTGATATTAATTCACATCCTTGCCACAGAACTTTTATATATATATATATTTTTATTATACTTTAAGTTTTAGGGTACATGTGCACAACGTGCAGGTTTGTTACATATGTATACACGTGCCATGTTGGTGTGCTGCACCCATTAACTCATCATTTACATTAGGTATATCTCCTAATGCTATCCCTCTCCGCTCCTCCCACCCCACAACAGGCCCCGGTGTGTGATGTTCTTCTTCCTGTGTCCATGTGTTCTCATTGTTCAATTCCCACCTATGAGTGAGAACATGCGGTGTTTGGTTTTTTGTCCTTGCGATAGTTCGCTGAGAATAATGGTTTCCATTTTCATCCATGTCCCTACAAAGGACATGAGCTCATCCTTTTTTATGGCTGCATAGTATTCCATGGTGTATATGTGCCACATTTTCTTAATCCAGTCTATCATTCATGGACATTTGGGTTGGTTCCAAGTCTTTGCTATTGTGAATAGTGCCACAATAAACATACGTGTGCATGTGTCTTTATAGCAGCATGATTTATATTCCTTTGGGTGTACACTCAGTAATGGGATGACTGGGTCAAATGGTATTTCCAGTTCTAGATCCCTGAGGAATTGCCACACTGACTTCCACAATGGTTGAACTAGTTTACAGTCCCACCAACAGTGTAAAAGTGTTCCTATTTCTCCACATCCTCTTCAGCACCTGTTGTTTCCTGACTTTTTAATGATCGCGATTCTAACTGGTATGAGATGATATCTCATTGTGGTTTTGATTTGCATTTCTCTGATGGCCAGTGATGATGAGCATTTTTTCATGTGTTTTTTGGCTGCATGAATGTCTTCTTTTGAGAAGTGTCTGTTCATCTCCTTTGCCCACTTTTTGATGGGGTTGTTTTTTTCTTGTAAATTGGTTTGAGTTCATTGTAGATTCTGGATATTAGCCCTTTGTCAGATGAGTAGGTTGCAAAAATTTTCTCCCATTTTGTAGGTTGTCTGTTCACTCTGATGGTAGTTTCTTTTGCTGTGCAGAAGCTCTTTAGTTTAATTAGATCTCATTAGTCAATTTTGGCTTTTGTTGCCATTGCTTTTGGTGTTTCAGACATGAAGTCCTTGCCCATGCCTATGTCCTGAATGGTATTGCCTAGGTTTTCTTCTAGGGTTTTTATGGTTTTAGGTCTAAAATGTAAGTCTTTAATCTATCTTGAATTAATTTTTGTATAAGGTGTAAGGAAGGGATCCAGTTTCAGCTTTCTACATATGGCTAGCCAGTTTTCCCAGCACCATTTATTAAATAGGGAATCCTTTCCCCATTTCTTGTTTTTGTCAGGTTTGTCAAAGATCAGATGGTTGTAGATGTGTGGTATTATTTCTGAGGGCTCTGTTCTGTTCCATTGGTCTATATCTCTGTTCTGGTACCAGTATCAGACTGTAGCATAGTTTGAAGTCAGGTAGCGTGATGCCTCTGGCTTTGTTCTTTTGGCTTAGGATTGACTTGGCGATGCAGGCTCTTTTTTGGTTCCATATGAACTTTAAAGTAGTTTTTTCCAATTCTGTGAAGAAAGTCACTGGTAGCTTGACGGGGATGGCATTGAATCTATAAATTACCATGGGCAGTATGGCCATTATCACGATATTGATTCTTCCTATCCATGAGCATGGAATGTTCTTCCATTTGTTTGTATCCTCTTTTATTATATTGAGCAGTGGTTTCTAGTTCTCCTTGAAGAGGTCCTTCACATCCCTTGTAAGTTGGATTCCCAGGTATTTGATTCTCTTTGAAGCAATTGTGAATGGGAGTTCACTCATGATTTGGCTCTCCGTTTCTCTGCTATTAGTGTATAAGAATGCCTGTGATTTTTGCACATTGATTTTGTATCCTGAGACTTTGCTGAAGTTGCTTATCAGCTTAAGGAGATTTTGGGCTGAGACGATGGGGTTTTCTAGATATACAATCATGTCATCTGCAAACAGGGACAATTTGACTTCCTCTTTTCCTAATTGAATACCCTTTATTTCTTTCTTCTGCCTGATGGCCCTGGCCAGAACTTCCAACACTATGTTGAATAGGAGTGGTGAGAGAGGGCATCCCTGTCTTGTGCCAGTTTTCAAAGGGAACACTTCCAGTTTTTGCCCATTCAGTATGATATTGGCTGTGGGTTTGTCATAAATAGCTCCTATTATTTTGAGATATGTCCCATCACTACCTAATTTATTGAGAGTTTTTAGCATGAAGGGTTGTTGAATTTTGTCGAAGGCCTTTTCTGCATCTATTGAGATAATCATGTGGTTTTTGTCTTTGGTTCTGTTTATATGCTGGATTACGTTTATTGATTTGCATATGTTGAAATAGCCTTGCATCCCAGGGATGAAGCCCACTTGATCATGGTGGATAAGCTTTTTGATGTGCTGCTGGATTCGGTTTGCCAGTATTTTATTGAGGATTTTTGCATCGATGTTCATCAGGGATATTGGTCTAAAATTCTCTTTTTTTGTTGTGTCTCTGCCAGGCGTTGGTATCAGGATGATGCTGGCCTCATAAAATGAGTTAGGGAGGATTCCCTCTTTTTCTACTGATTAGAATAGCTTCAGAAGGAGTGGTACCAGCTTCTCCTTGTACCTCTGGTAGAAGTTGGCTGTGAATGCGTTTGGTCCTGGACTTTTTTTGGTTGGTAAGCTATTAATTATTGCCTCAATTTCAGAGCCTGTTATTGGCCTATTAAGAGATTCAACTTCTTTCTGGTTTAGTCTTGGGCAGGTGTATGTGTCCAGGAATTTATCCATTTCTTCTAGATTTTCTAGTTTATTTGCGTAGAGATGTTTATAGTATTCTCTGATGGTAGTTTGTATTTCTGTGGGATCGGTGGTGATATCCCCTTTATCATTTTTTATTGCGTCTATTTGATTCTTCTCTCTTTTCTTCTTTATTAGCCTTCCTAGCGGTCTATCAATTTTGTTGATCTTTTCACAAAACCAGCTCCTGGATTCATTGATTTTTTGAAGGGTTTTTTGTGTCTCTATCTCCTTCAGTTCTGCTCTGATCTTAGTTATTTCTTGCCTTCTGCTAGCTTTTGAATGTGTTTGCTCTTGCTTCTCTAGTTCTTTTAATTGTGATGTTAGGGTGTCAATTTTACATCTTTCCTGCTTTCTCTTGTGGGCATTTAGTGCTATAAATTTCCCTCGACACACTGCTTTAGATGTGTCTCAGAGATTCTGGTATGTTGTGTCTTTGGTTTCGTTGGTTTCAAAGAACCTCTTTATTTCTGCCTTCATTTCGTTATGTACCCAGTAGTCATTCAGGAGCAGGTTGTTCAGTTTCCATGTAGTTGAGCGGTTTTGAGTGAGTTTCTTAATCCTGAGTTCTAGTTTGATTGCACTGTGGTCTGAGAGACAGTTTGTTATGATTTCTGTTCTTTTACATTTGCTGAGGAGTGCTTTACTTCCAATTATGTGGTCAATTTTGGAATAAGTGCGGTGTGATGCTGAGAAGAATGTATATTCTCTTGATTTGGGGTGGAGAGTTCTGTAGATGTCTATTAGGTCTGCTTGGTGCAGAGCTGAGTTCAATTCCTGGGTATCCTTGTTGACTTTCTGTCTCGTTGATCTGTCTAATGTTGACAGTGGGGTGTTAAAGTCTTCCATTATTATTGTGTGGGAGTCTTAGTCTCTTTGTAGGTCTCTAAGGATTTTCTCAGCAAGTTTCAAAGTATCAGATCATGCTCTATGATCAAGACATTTTCATGTCTCACTTCTCAATGACCACACGGAACTAGCTTTCCTCCTTCTTCACAAGCCAACTTTTTGGGTTTATTTTTTTGTTTGAGACAGGGTCTCACCCTGTCACCCAGGCTGGAGTGCAATGGCACGATTATGGCTCACTGCAGCCTCAGACTCCCAGGATCAAGCAATCCTCCTACTTCAGCCTCCCAAAGTACTGGAATTATAGGCATAAGCCACTGGACCCAGCACAAGCCAGCTTCTTGTTCTTCTTTGCAGAGTCTTTCTAGTCTATGTAGGGATCAAACAGGGCTTTTATTTGGGTGTCTTTCTTTTCCCCATCTATAATCTCTAAAGACAGCCTCATCCAGTCCAATGATGTTAAGTAACAACTAAATGTTGGTGATTCCCAAATGCATGTCCCCAGTCTTTACCTTTCTCTTAAGCTCCTGACTACTATATCTGTACCCATCTGCTTATCTGATATTTCTTCTTGCATGTCTTGAGCATAACTCAAAGTTAACATCAGGAATAGAATTCCTGATTCCGCTCTAAAACCTGTTCCTCCCCAAATATTCTCCATTTCCAAAAATGACACTATTCTTTCAGTTACTCAGTCCAAAAATTTGGGTGCTATATCTAATTTCTTCATTTCCTTGATTCCCCAATTTTATCCAACAAGAAGACCTGTGAGTTCTAAACTCTTAAATATATATAAAAACGATTGACGTCTGTCCAGCTTCAGTTTATATCCAACTCCTGGGATGGATCTTTCAGACTCAGGGATGTTATCAAAGACCCAGTTTCCTTCCATCCTTCCAAGGGGCAAAAGGCAAAATTCTAGACCAATGGATGTTTGGAGACCTCTTTCACCTCTATTATGCATGATGTCAATTGCTAGAGTATATGTTTTTGACTTTTAGTATTTTAGGAATACAGATTATGGGAAGATCACAGTGATCTAGCTAATAAAGTTTAAAGGGAGGATGAACTCCACAGAGAGGAAGAAGGAATATATTGATATGAGGTAAAGGAGACATGGAGGGAAGGAAGGAGGAAGGACGGAAGGAGGAAGGAAGGAAGGAAGGAAGGAAGGAAGGAAGGAAGGAAGGAAGGAAGGAAGGAAAGGACAAATGAGCCTACGGTTCCAAAATATTTTGTAAAATCCACATATCGAAGGAAAACACTCTTCATTCTTTTCTATGATATAGGAACAACACGTTTATGTCAATATCTAAACATAAACTTAGTAAGTTGAGTTTTATAGGTAAAAAATGATTTTAATGAATTTTCTTAACCCTACAAGTGTACTAAATTCCTTCTGACTTTACCTTTCATTTTAAAGTTAGCTTATTTTGTTGCTTTTATTTTCACATTTAAGAAATTTTTACATTATGTATATAACATCACATAAGCAATTGGAAAACTATGTAGACTCAAATTCTCTAGCATGGAAATTGGCTATGTCACACAGTCACATACTAACAAAAATTAATGTCATGTTATAAGATTAACAGTAATAAAAATATTTCAATTCAGGTTATAATATAAAAGCGTCATACAAGCTGAATTTTAATGCAAATGCTTTGATAAAGAATTATAGGCAAGGTGCAGTGGCTCATGCCTGTAGCCCCAGCACTTTGGGAGGCTGGGGAGGGCAGATCACTTGAGGTCGGGAGTTTGAGACCAGCCTGGCCAACATGACAAAACCCCCTCTCTACCAAAAAAATACAAAAATTAGCTGGGTGTGGTAGCTAACACCTGTGGTCCCTGCTATTTTGGGGGCAATGGCATGAGAATCACTTGAGCCTGGGAGGTGGAGGTTGCAGTGAACCAAGATCGTGACACTGCACTCCAGCCAGGGCAACAGAGAGAGGCTTCATCTAAAAAAAAAAAAAAAAAATATATATATATATATATATATATATATATATATATATATAATTAAAAGAATATAGTAGTTGTAAGTCTCACACCTGACCATACTTTTGAATTCCTTCTCTTTATCTGTCCTCATCTACCAAGTCTTGCCATAAAAGAATCTGAGTAATTGGATCTCTTGGAATAATTAATAGACATAATAACCATGATGGGCCTAGCTGTGAATTCTACACTCTTAAACACTAGGTGGCCAAAGGAAAGATCTTTTTTTCACTTTGAGTGACTCATCTAAATATAATATTTTGGATTTATTTGTTGCTTGTTTTAGAATTTTTCACATATCTAAAACCCTTGGTTTAGTGCGTGCTTCTTTTTAAAATTTTTTAAATCGATTGCTCTGATGGACAAAATATAAATTTTTAATACAAAGCAAGGAGGTTTTCTGTGTGTGGCATTACAAGTATAGACTTTAAACAATGTGATCCTAATTGGGTAATACATCTGAAATGACAGACTTGAATAGGAATAGTAATTAAAAGTCCAGACTTCAGATCTGTCAGTAGATAATCTTGGACTCAAGCCTGGGATAGGTCACTTGTCAGCTGGAAGCCTAGGCAAGATATTTTATCTTTCCAATTCTCAGTTTCCTCATGAGTAAAATGTGGGCACTAGAGTTATCAGTTGGTAAGGATTAAGTGAGCTGGGACGGTAAAAGCTTAGTCACACCATACAGTTCTCAGAATATTTTATTTTAGTTTAATGAATACAGGTCCTTATTGTGCAAGGGATCTAATAATCAAAGATAAATTTATAGAAGAACTAAATTTTCTAACTAAAACTTCTCACCATCATATAAAGAGTTTTTAACCTCCACAAGGAATATGAGTTCAACATCACTGTAACTCTTAATGTAAAATATGGAACTGATGATATGGTTTGGCGCCGTTTCCCCACCCAAATCTCATATCAAGTTTTAATCCCCACGTGTCAAGGGAGGGACCTAGTGGGAGATATTTGGATCATGGGGGTGGATTTCCCCCTTGCTGTTCTTGTGATAGTGAGTTCTCATGAGATTTGATGGTTTAAAAGTGTATGGCACTTCCCCCTTGGCTCTCTCTCTCCTGCCGCCATGAGAAGAAGGTGCTTCCCCTTTGTCCTTCTGCCAGGATTGTAAGTTTCCTGAGGCCTCCCAGCCATGCTTCCAGTTAAGCCTGCTGAACTGTGGTCAATTGGACCTCTTTTCTTCATAGATTCCCCAGTCTCAGGTAGTTCTTCATAGCAGTGTGAGAGTGGACTACTACAACTGACTTCTAGAAGTTGATTGAATTAGAGGGAAAACCTACATGAAATGCTATCATGAGCATTTCTTGTACTTGCACTCCCACTTAGTCTATTGGATTACCATTTTCGTACTGAACACACTTATGTCTGGCTTCACTTTTGATTTTATTTTTCTAAAATCCCAATCAGAGAATGTGAAAACCAATGCTATGAGGTTGAACCATATGAAAATGCCAGTATCCACTTTCTTTGACCTATAAAAATGGCTTCAATTTGATATTACTATGAACAGTAGAGTTGTTCTTCATTTAACAGAATAAATGTATTCATAGGAATATAATATTTAATTAAAAATAAATTTTCTGGGCCAGGTACAGTGGCCCAGCACACCTGAGTGTAATCTCAGCACTTTATGAGGCCAAGGTGGGTGGATCACTTGAGGTCAGGAGTTCCAAACCACCTTGGTCAACATGGTGAAACCCCGTCTCTACTAAAAATACAAAAATTAGCCAGGTGTGGTGGTGCACGCTTGTAGTCCCAGCTACTCGGGGGGCTGAGGCATGGAAATTGCTTGAACCCGGGAGGCAGAGTTTGCAGTGAGCTGAGATCATGCCTCTGCACTCCAGCCTGGGCAACAGAGTGAGACTCTGTCTCAAAATAAATAAATAAATAAATAAATAAAATGTTCTATTACCTGCATTGCATGGTACTTTTGGTTTAGTTGCTTGCTAAACAAATACCACTTAAAGTTGCACAGCAAGTCTGCTAAAATCCAACATTTCACTTTGTGGAAGGAAAATAAATATCAGGACCCAAAATCACTAAGCCAAAGGGGAAAGTCAAGCTGGGGAACTGGGTCAGACAAACCTGCTTTCCATTTTATTCCCAAATAAGATAGCCACAAAGATAAAAAAGCTACATACCTTACTCACAATTTTGCTCACAAGGAAATTCCGTTGGGGGGGGGGGAGGGGCGGGGGCTCACGATCTTTACCCTAAAACCATTCTGTTGAATTTTTACCCTGGCAAGGTAAATTGATAGCTTATTTTCACAGGTGTGGGACAAAGGACAGAACTCAAAGTCATCCTGCTCACCTGAGACAAATGCATATCTGATTGCTTCCTCTGCCTTATCATTTATGTAAAAATGCAGTCGCTGAGCCAGACTAAGGCATAAGTGACTATCTGTCTACCCCCATCTCACGTGTAAATTGTGTATCTCAGCGAAAGGCTGATCAAACACTCGAAATAATACAACCGTTTGTCTCTTATCTATGACCTGGAAGCCCCTAACTGAGTTGTCCTGCCTTTCCAGACCCAAGCAATGTACATCTCACACGGGTTGACTGATGTCTCATGTCTCCCTAAAACGTATAAAACCAAGCTGTGTCCTGAACACCTTGGGCACATGTCATCAGGACCTCCTGAGGCAGTGCCATGGGCATGTCCTCAACCTTGGCAAAATAAACTTTCTAAATTGATTGAGACCTGTCTCAGATACTTTTGGTTCACAATTTCTAGAACAACATTTTTTAATAATTGAAATATGAATACGACACAAGAAAATAAAAATAAAAAAAAGAAAAACTAAAACACAAATACTTTTATTTGCCAGAGATTAATATAGTTAGTATTTTTTCATAACACTTTGTGGTCTCTTTCTACTAATATACATGTTTATTTTTACACTATATGATCCTTTTCTTTAACGTCTATCCTAATCCTAGTTTTGCACTTAACAATAAGAAAGACTTTTATAAACAACTTCTTTAATAGTTACATAAATCCTATCATAGGAATAAATCACAATTTATTTAGCCATCGCTCTATCGCGCGTGTGTGTGTGTGCATATGTACATATAAAACATCTTGCTGGCATAAAATGCCATTTACATAAAAGATAATTAGCATTCATTTATTAGTAAATATACAAGAAATTCTATAATTGTCCCTAAATCTTGTTGTAATCTATATTCAATTACCTTCTCTTCCAGTAACTGTCCTTTTTTAAAAATGCAATTACTAATAAAAAATTAAAAATGTGCTGAGTTTCACTTTTTCTTTTAGCTTCTTTGCCTATATTCTGTATGAATTTTCAAAATAGGTATAAAAAAACAAATGAATACAAATAAGAGAGGATAATCAGCCCCTGAATAACACTGTGTGTGGAAAATTAACACCAGGCTTCACTGGAGAAGCGGGACTGCGGACTGACTGATGGAAGGAGGAAGGTGACGATGCGGAAAGAAACGCGTCGCTTTCTATGTTTTGCTTTCTACGCATGGTAGTTGAGGATGTAGAACTTCCTGTGCTTGAAATTCTCAGTGCAGTTACATTAAAAGAAAAAAGGAAGTTGTGCCCTCTGAAGCTTTTCTTTCTTCTCCTTTTTTTTTTTTGGTTTGTTTTTTGAGACTGGGTCTTGCTCTGTTGCCCAGGCTGGAGTGCATTGGCACAATCATGGCTCACTGCAGCCTCAAACTCCTATGCTTGAGCAATCCTCCTGCCTCAGCCTCCACAGTAGCTGGGACCACAGATGCGAACCACCATGACTGGCCTCCAACTTTTCTTTGACTTTATCTCAATACTGCACATAAGCAAAAGAAACCAATCAAACTGTAAGTGCAGAGACAATGGCCAAATAATGTAGGAAATATTTTTGAAATATAATTATTTTGTAGAAAGTATAATTTGGCACTGTAATTATTTACATTTCATTTTATTGTTCTCCTAGATATTTACTTTCTACCATTTCCCCTGCGAGATCTAATGTGTTTACTATATTTTTCTCTAGGTCTTTAAGGGATTTATCACTGGACAATTTATTAAGACATAGTTTTCTTCAAATAATAGAAGAATACAAATGGACGTTTTATACTTTACTACTTCTAGAAGACAGTTTCCTATGAACTATTTATTTATGTGTTTATAAATGTTTATTTATTTAAATGTTCCTATCCCATCAGCCTTTTTACAATTTCTCTGAGCTTTGTTTGTATTAAAAACTTAAAACATACATAAAGATAACATCAGTTTTAATTTTATGCCAATTAACCAAACCCAAAGAAAGCTTTTATGAAAATTAACAAACGGGAGAATCCTTCAGAACAACAGAAAATTCCAAAGGCATCAGTGGTAAATACTGTGATGATTTCTTAAACATTAATTTGCATGGGAACATGAGTAATCACAACTGTGAGAAAGCTGAAGGAAGAGAATGAAAATCTTAAATGCTATATACCACAGTACTGGGTTTTAAAGAAACTAAAAGGCCGGGCGCAGTGGCTCACGCCTGTAATCCCAGCACTTTGGGAGGCCGAGGCGGGCAGATCACGAGGTCAAGAGATAGCGACCAACCTGGTCAACATCGTGAAACCCCGTCTCTACTAAAAACACAAAAATTAGCTGGGTGTGGTGGCGCGCTCCTGTAGTCCCAGCTGCTCGGGAGGCCCAGGCAGCAGAATCGCTTGAACCCGGGAGGTGGAGGTTGCAGCGAGCTGAGATTGCACCACTGCACTCCAGCCTGGCAGCAGAGCCAGACTCCGTCTCAGAAAAGAAAGTAAAAAAATTCCCGCACAGATTCTCATTTGCCATTGCCACAAATAGGTGGCAATGAGAAGGGAATTTCTGTAAAATGTAACATGGAAGAGGCATGTTCACAGCTCTGTGTTCAGATATGATCACTGACATGTGTGTATAGACCTTAGTAATGATGGCCAAGTGCAGGTGCCTCTTTTTGTTTTAATGTAAGTTCACTGCATGAAACTCTCCATAAGCTGAGAGTGGAGCCTATGACTAAATTTTGTCCTTCCTAAAAAGTGAAAACATGTTGGAAAGGTATCCCTGACAAGAGGTTGGAGGAAGTATATAAACATGTAAGTGTGCATTTTCTGGTACTTGAAATGTTTAAATGAAGAAGAGAATAACTTCTCAAGATATGACAGCAATTATCCCCATGCCTCTGTATATTGTGAATCCAAGAATAAGTCTCTTAAAGAGTCCTGGCTTCCATCCCAGGGGAAGAAGTTTTCTGCAGGGAAGCAGCGGTGTGATAGTGCCTGCAGAGAGGCCAGGCATCATTAAGTGCGGTGAGGAAGAAAGGAAGCCAGGGGAAAAGAGAAATAGGACCAGAAAGTATATCTGATAAGAGAGCTTTTGAAGAACAGAGCAGAAACAACAGGATTTCCAGGAACAGAGGCCGGTATAGCATTGGAATTCATAGAATTTTAGTACTAATGGGAACCTTGTGCGAATTGTAAACCTCCATCATTTACAGAGAAGGGAACTGAAGCTGGGAGAGGTTGCTACGTGCCAAAAGTTACATAACTAGTCAGAAGCAGAGTCTGGGGAAGTGGCTGCTGGAACTGCAGTTCTGAAAAACAAACAACAAACAAACAAACAAAAAACCTAAGAGAGTCAACACAGGCTGAAATTGTTTCTTCTGTTCCAGGTAATGGCAATTCATCTGGAGCTAAAGATCAAAAGCCAGGAGGAAATCCCCAGGATCCAGCCTGGGTTGGGCTGCTGGGTCTGTGGGGAGCAATGAGGAACTGGAGATGCACCTGCAATTAATCAGGTACATTCTTGTGTCCTTAGGTGTCTTCGCTTTGTTGTGCTGTGTGCTCGACTACGGGACGTGGTAGAAGGGGAGCTCCTTTTGTGTCAGGCATTTCACAATATTTGGCCCGTTTAATATTCATCATTACCATTTTACAGATAATAATAATTGTAGCCACTAATACTGAAGTTATTCCAAGCAGGCAGTATTATAATTTTACATGCATTTTCTCATTTAATCCTCTCAATGACCACTATGAAATCGTATATTATTCCCATTTCACAGATGAGGAAAATGAGACATAAATTGGTAAATAACTTGTCCAAGGTCAATAGCTAGAGAATGGTGGAGTTAGGACTCTAATCCAAGCAATCTGATGTTAGAAAATCATACTCCTGAAAAACAGGGAAACCAAGGTTCAAAAAGGTGAAATCACTTGAATGTCTCACAGTGAGTTGGAATTTGGACTCAGGTGCACTAGTGCATATTCTTCTACATCATGCTATAGAAGAGAGTCGGGGCCGGGCACGGTGGCTCGCGCCTGTAATTCCAGCACTGGGGAAGCCAAGATGGGCAGATCACTTGAGCTCAGGAGTTCGAGACCAGCGTAAGCAACATGGCGAAACCCCATCTCTACCAAAAATACAAAATTAGCTGGGCACGGTGGCATGCACCTGTGGTCCCAGCTGCTCGGGAGGCTGAGGTGGGAGGATCGCTTGAGCCCAGGAGTGGATGTTACAGTGAGCCAAGATGGTGCCACTGCACTCCAGCCTGGGTGACAGAGTGAGCCCTATCTCAAAAAAAGGAAAACAGGGACCAGGGAGACAGGGAAAAGGTTAGAATCACAATTTTGAAGGAAAGAAGGCACACACATACACAAACATCTGTTTTTCATCTTGTGTGATGAGTTGCCCTTGAAAAGACAGGATCCTACTTTTCCTTAAATGTTTTGAAGCATATTAACCTGAGTATGGGAGGACCTACTTCTAACAAATACTGTACATTCATGGACAGAAGTGGGGAACTGAATTTCAGAAGCCACAGCTATGGAGCCCTGAAGAGATGCCCGGAGCCTGGGTTTCAAGGCCCACAGGCACTGGAACTAGGCCTGGCAAGCACTGTCAGCTCAGCTCCTCGGTTGCTGTGTAGTAAAAAGCTGCCACTTAAGTATTGGAAGAATCATGGCTTTCAATGGAAATGGATTTCTTATACTGACAGTTTCTCCTGGAGAACGTCTTGCTCTGTTGTCCAGGCTGGAGTGCAGGGATGCAATCATAGCTCACTGCAGCCCTGACCTCTTGTGCTCAAGCCATCCTCCTCCCTCAGCTTCTCGAGTAGCTGCGACTACAGGAGTGAGCCACCACATCTGGCTATTTTTTTTTTTTAATTTTGTAGAGATGCGTCCTCGTTATGTTGCCCAGGCTGTTCTCGAACTCCTGGCCCCAAGTGTACCTCCCGCCTTGGCCTCCCAAAGTGTTGGGGTTATAGATGTGAGCCACTATTCCTGGCTGAAAGTTTTTTAAAATTAAAATATGGATAGTAGCAGTTTCAGTCTGAGCCACAGAGGGTGGCAGCATCAATGAATGGTAACTGCTGTTACAGAGTTCGGACCACAGCTTTCTAGTTTCAAAAACATGATTTTTAAAAGCATCCACAGGTGACTGGAAATCCTTAAGCAACATTAATAAACTTGTTATATAGTAACTTATATGCCAGAATGTTAATCTAATAGAGGAGAAGATAAGGAGAAACCACAACCATATTCAAAACATCAATATCTAATACTAAAGACTACGGAAAACTGTTATCAGAAGTCAGAAAGGCATGGAATGAAATCAAAGAACATTGTATAGTCTTAGAAAATATTTCATTGGGGCAACCCGTTCGGGTCCCCTTCCACGCTGTGGAAGCTTTGTTCTTTCGCTCTTCACAATAAATCTTGCTGCTGCTCAAAAAAAATATGTAATATAATATATATATTTTATATATATATATTTTATTGGTCTCTGAGAAAGTCTCCCTTTGCAGTACGAACTAACCTTGTGGAGTGGCTAGATCATGACTGCTCACTTCAGCATCTGTCTCTTACTGAATGTTTCTTATCCTCTTGCTTTCTTGGGGGTCTGAGGATGGGGGGCTGTAGCATGTGTAAGAGATGACACTCACTAGACACACATTTTTGAGGGCTGCCCCGCAGCAGGAAGCGGCTCTGGAGGCCATGGGCCAATGAAGGTGCTGTGACGTTTACACTCACAGCCATCTGCAGCAGTCCACACTTTATTACAGTTACAGTTAACATTTTCTTCCACAGTATTTCCTGATAATATTTAACAAAATAAATAATGAGACTAAACCCTAACTCATGTCAAATGAGTTTGAGCAATTATTACCTTACACACACTATACTGTCCCAATAGCCAGGTAATGAAATCTGATCTGGACACTCATTCTAGAAAATAGAGCAGTGCTGTCTGATTGGGGGCGGGAGGAGTATTCCCACGTCTTGGTCCTGCAGAGACAGCTCCCCGACAGCTCTGAGAAGCCCCAGGGCTCAGTGGCACCCGCTTTGAAACTCACCAATGCAAAAAGGAGAATCAAGAAGTAAAAATCTGTCTGTATTCAATTGTATAAACAGTATAGCTTTGTCATGTAAGATACTAGCACAGCAATTAGTTACTGGTCTTCTGGGCTTCCTCCAAACCTCAAACCTTTGGTCCCCAGACCCACACACACACATTCATTCAGCTGAGGGGCAAATGAGATAAATCAAACTGTTTTAATGGCCTCTTGGTATGCATTTCAAGAGAGTTGACATCAACCCAATTTTCTGCCAGCAGTGTATATAAGCGTTCATTTCGCTAACCATCAGTAGCATTATCACTGGAAAAGAATTCTGTCCTTTGAAGAAAAGCAATGTTACGTTGTTTGAATGTGTCATTACTAGTGAATTAGAATAGCTGTCAGTATTTATTAATAGTTTTATTTCTTCTATTGTACATTATCCATGGCTTTTGCGTTTTATGTGGGGAGGGATATTCGTATTCATCTTAGTGGATAAATACCACCTTACTTGGAAAATAGAGCCAAGGGTTAAATTCTAGGCAAAACCAACAGGAAAATCAGGGTAAGTTATCTAACTTACATTAGGTTGAATGAGAGATGGTATCTGCGTATAAAATTTTAAATGATCCCTACAAAGTATAACTGGGAAAAAAATGTGGAGTTATGCTGCCACTTCTTTCCTAAAAGGTAAGCTTCCTTTTATTGATACGATGTTGTCTTACTCGAGTGCCTTCTCTAAAATACACAGAACCATGCAGTCCTCTATTTTACAGATGAAGTAACAGACTGTTTAAAAAGGTGACTCACTGAAAGCTCTTCATTGTTGGAATTCCTGGCCCAACATTCAAACCAGGCATGGCTTGCTTTTCTTCTGACACGTTTTAACCCCTCTACTAAATTTTTAGCGATATATATTTACTCTTAAAATGAATTACAATTATTCTGTGATGTTCTTTGAGATAATCAAAAACTCTCTGGGATGTATCAGATTGAGGGCTGTGAATAGCATGAAAGATTGTGTTTATTTGACTAGTGTATATCACAGACCTATTCAAGTACCACCCATTTCTAAATTCTAACAGTCTTAGAAACCAGCTGTAGAAGCAGATTGATATATTTTATCAGAATCCCCAAATTCCTACAACCGTCTCTTCCTAATGACTTTTCAGGTGGGGACACGTGCCAAGACGGCCAATAGATACCTGAAACCCGGGGTAGTGCTGAACCTTACTTACACTACGTTTTCTCCTATACACACCTGCCTATAATAAAGTTTAATTTAGAAGTCAGGCACAATGAGAGATTAACAACACTAATAATAAACCAGAACAATTATAACACTATACTGTAGTAAAAGTTATGAGAATGCGGTCTCCCTGAAAACACCTTGCTGTCCTGTACTCACCGAATTTCAGAGCAGAGGACTCTGACTGACAGGTGTTCCCCGACTCCCAGTGGCGAAAGGTCCTCAGGGAAAACAGGTGAACGCTATCAAAGTATGCTTATCTCCGAACCTTTCTTAAACCAGAGTCTTAAGGGATCGTCTCTGATTAGGTCTAGAATTCCTCTCCATAGAAGATAACCTACTTCTCGCGCAAATCTGCAGTGTTCTTGCAGGGCTGCTGATGGGTGGTCCTGTTCTTTTCGCGGTCCTGTTTGCGCAGAGATGAAACGGGGAACTTAGCGTATCCCTACCGCTCTTTTTGATGACAGGAGTAAAGGGCTGTTCAGACTACCTAAACAATGTTGTTAAGAGAAGCACTCGTACTTCTCAGACTTCGCTGTTCCGGACCCCGCGAGCCAGGGGCAGGCACCGGGTCCACCCGGGGCTGAGCTGCGGCGGCGCCTGACAATGCCCCCTCGCGCCCCGGCCTCGGCGCCCGCTCCCGGCTCCAGCGCGCCTGCACGTACGTAGCCTTCACGTGTGTGTGGATACGGAGTGCATGTGTGGAGACAGAGGAATATGCTCCAACAAATTTCGGATAGAGGCGCCGAAGACAGGACGTGGGGAAGGTAGGAGCCGCGTGCACGGCTCCGGCCCCGGGCGGGAGGCGGCCGCGAGCCGGGCCGGCCGCGCGCAAGTCCGGCGCCAGCCGCTAGAGCCCCCAGTGCGCGGCCCGGCCGCGGGGCGCCTCGACCCGACACAATAAACTCCGAGGGCGGGCGGGCCGAGGGGCCGGTGGGGCCGAGCGGCCGCCCCGCGCGCATCGCCATGTGAGCGGCTGCCGCGGCTTCGCGGGGACCCAACTTTCCCGGGCGGCGGCGCCCAACTTCCCGCCGCCCGCTCCGGCCCCGCAGGCCCGCGGCGCCAGGGGAAGACGCGAGTAAGTGCGGGCGGCGGTGCCCTCCCGGCCCTCACCCCGCACGCGGCGACCCGGCCGCCTAGCCTCCCTCGCTCAGGCGCGACCGCGGCGTTCTCTGAGGTGGAGTATTACAAACATGGCGCCCCTCGAGCCCGGAGCCCTTCGCGCGGAGCCGGCGGCGGGGTCCGGGCGGGGGGGAGCCGGGGAGGAGGGAGGAGGCCGGCAGGGAGGAGGAGGAGGCGGCCTGAGCGTCCCCCCCGCCCCCCGCGCCCGTCGCCGGCTCAGGCCCGAGAGGCGCCGGGCGGCGGGAAGGAGGCGGCACCGGAGGGGAGGGCCGGGCGCGGCGGCGGCGGCGGTGGAGGAGCCGGAGCATAATGGTGGGGAAAGCTCGGCGGCGGGGCGGCGGGGCGGGCGGGGGCGTCCGTGGAGATGGCGCGGCCCGCGCGGTGGAGCCTGCCTGGCCGCGGCCTCTGGGGCGGCGGCGGCACCAGTGGGTGCTGACGGTCGCTCGCCCGCTCGCGAAGAGCTCCGAGCTGCCGGGGAGCTTTGTGGATGGCGGGGCGGGCCGGGCCGGCGGGGCCTGCGAGGGCGGCGGCGGGGCCTGCGGAGGCTGCCGGCCCGCGCCCACTCGCCTTGGGCGGCCGCGGAAGAGGCCCCGGGATGAGGCCCCGGAGGACCGCGCGGGGCCTGCTCGGGCCGGGAAGCCGCGGAGTCGCGTGAGCACCGCCCGCCGGGCCCTGTGCCCCGCTTTCGGTCAGGCCTCCTGGGCCCGTGCGCAGTCCGGGCCGGCGGGGAACGCGGCTCCGGGCGTGTGGCGGGCGGAGAGGAAGCGTTTGTCGGCGCGGCACGTCGTGTGCTAGCCCGGGAGCGGCGGGCAGGGCTGGCCCCGAGGCCCGGGGCGGAGATTCGTCGGTCCCCCGGGGCTGTGAGCGACCCCGGCAGCGAGGCCGCCGCCTCAACAGGTCCTCGCGGACCTCCGGGACAGTCCTGTGGGGTCCGCCGCCCTCCTCCCACCCAGAGCTCCGGGGAGAAGCTGCTGAGGACGCGGCTGGGACGAGGGGGGGCGCCGGGACCCGGACTTTCACTTGCAGTCTCTCCTCGCGCTTTTCTCCCGAGCCGGGAGGAGGAGGAGCTGGCGATGTGTGCGCCGTGCCCGGTGTCTTTTGCAGAGTGACCGCCGTACCTGTTTTATTCGTGTGTACCAGTGCTCGTTGTGCAGTGCGGTGTCCTATGCGGTGGGTACGCAGTACCGGGGATTATATATGGTGTGTACTCTGTGTCATATGCAGTGTGCTCGAAGTACCCGGTGTCGTACCGGCTATCATACACGGTGTGTACATGTATCTTCCTCGCTTAGGCTGTGCACTCAGCCCCCGGTATTGTGTGCAGTAGGTGCCTGGTACCCTGCTGCCATATGAGCTGTGCGTGTGGTACTCCATGTTATATACGAGTGTATGTAGTATCTGGATAGTATTGAATATATTTACCTTACCTGTTGTCACATACAGTGTGTATGTAGTACCTGGTGTCATATATGCGGTGTGTATAGTACCAGGTGTCATATACTGTGTGCACACAGTACTTGGGGTCATATATGGTGTGTACATAGTATCCTTTCACACTGTGTATGCAGCACCCAGTGTCATATACAGCCCTTACGCGGTTCCCGGTATTTTGTGCAGTATGTGCACGGTACCGTGCTGCCATATGCGGTGTGTATGCAGTATTCAATGTCATATACGTTAGGTATATAGTATCTGGTGTCATATACAGTGTATATACACTACCTGGTGTTATCTATGTTTTGTATATATATCTGGTGGCATGTACAGTATGTATACATTACATAGTGTTATATATGGTGTGTAGGTAGTACCCAATGTCATATGCCATGCATATATGGTACCCAATGTCATATGCACCATGCATGCACTATCCTTGTCACATAAGCTGTACTCAGTGTCAGATGCAGTGTGTACCTAGTACCGAGTGTCATATGTACTGTGTACACAGTACCCACTGTCATATTCAGGGTATCTAGTACCCTGGGTCATATACAGTGTGTACATGGTATCTGGTGTCAAGAATGTGAGCCTGGAGGAGATACCCAGGTGGCCCATTCAGGACCCTGCTGGTAGGAGGGAGTGGTGCAGGTTGGGTTTTTAGGGAGGTCTAGAGCCCTTGGTCCTCCTCACTTAGGTGTTCTGCATCCCACAGTAAGCTGAGTCATATGGAGGCAAGAACATTCTTAAAAATAATTTAATCTGTTTGTCCAAAAGCAGAAAGTAAATGTTTACTTGTTTTCCTGTAAACTGAGAAATATAGTAATTTTAGCTTAGTAATTATGGTGTGCACAACGTTTTCAGATTTTTGAGGTTGATTTTAATTAATGGTTGGATGTTATCAGGGAGATAGTGTTGGTTGTACTTTGAAAGTTGAAAAGTTAGAGTGCTTTCTGGTAGGCAGGGTCATCTTTGTAGTTTTTCTGAATGTCTTTTTACAAGCAGGAGAAAAAATATGAATGTCTGTAGAGGCATTTAATTTGCCTTGTCTTTGACTAACTGGCACAGGTTACATTATAGTTGTTATTTTTGGTTGACTCATCTTTATAAGATGACCAGGCTAGAGAATCAGAGATCAGAGGATATGGGATGTGATTATGACAGAATCAAAATATTTGTCTTGCTTGACTCTGTTACTTAAAGGATTTCTGTATTTCACATGGTGCTTTTCCCCCATAGAGATTGCTCATATGAAAACCAACTCTTCCTTTTACAGTCTCTAAATTGGACAATTTATTTTTGCAATTACCATTTGTGAGGTGTTTAAATAAATGTACATGTACGAGCTTCCAGCTTCACAAAAAGAAATCAATTAAAATGTTAAAATTTAGTTCTTTCATTCATACTGAATACCATTCTGTTGGCGTTTTTTTTTTTTTTTTTGAGATGGAGTCTTGCTCTGTCGCTCAGGCTGGAGTGCAGTGGTGTGATCTCGGCTTACTGCAACCCCTGCCTCCCAGGCTTAAGCGATTCTCATGCCTCAGCCTCCCGGGTAGCTCGTACTACAGGCATGTGCCACCACACCTGGATAATTTTTTGTATTTTTAGTAGGGGGCCGGGGTGGGGGTGGTTTGCCATGTTGGCCAGGTCTCAGACTCCTGGCCTCAAATGATCCACCTGCCTTGGCCTCCCAAAGTGCTGAGATTACAGATGTGAGCCACCGCACCCGGCCCTGTTGGCGTTTTGAATGGATGTCATGCATGTTTCAATGAATGACATATGTTTATTTGGACTCTCATCCTTCGGTAACCCTCTGAGTTTTTTCTTCTTAGGGTTGTTACAGTAGTGTATAATAGAGGCATTCATACTCTTTGGCATACCTTAATTGAGACACTACTTGGACCTAACTAAGAATTTTAATACTTGCTATAAAAGTATCAAATGTTGCTGTAAATTGCTTACTTAAAGCCCTAACCCTCTGGTATCAGATTTTTGGTAACTTTCTTGTCCTTCAGTTGAATTCTACATGGAGAACATTATTACCTTTCAGCAAAGAGGATGTATCTTGGAAAAAAAAAAAAGAGAAAATAGACTTAGCCTTATGATAGTTAAAACTTTTCACTGTTTGAAAACCTTAAATTGGATTTAACACTGAATTTTCTTTTTTCTTTTTTTGAGACACTCACTCTCGCTCTGTCGCCCAGGCTGGAGTGCAGTGGCACAATCTTGGCTCACTGCAGCCTCTGCCTCCTGGGTTCAAGTGATTCTCCTGCTTCAGCCTGGGATTATAGGCGCCCGCCACTGTGCCTGGCTAATTTTTCTATTTCACCATGCCGGTCTTAAACTCCTGGCCTCAAATGATCCGCCTGCCTTGGCTTCCCAAAGCGCTGGGACTATAGGCATGAGCCACTGTGCCTGGCCTATCATTACTTTGATGAATGATATTATTATTCATCTATTTTAATTCATTTGAATAATACAAATAACTAAAATACACAGTGTGAGAGTTCTTATTTTAACCATTGGTTTTATGTTAATATTTTTCTGTTTTTCATATCTGGCACTCTGTCCATAACTGCTTCAGGTTGCATTTTCTATATTTCCTTGAAGCAGATAGACTTTCTGAATAAAGGAAAACTGGTGTTTTCTCTTCATTAGATCTTCATTAAACCCTCACCAACATTTCTACTAGGAATTCAGCATATGTGAGTTTATTTCTACCAATATCTCTTACATACTTTCAGTTACTTGCAGTGCCATTATCAAGTTTTCAAAACAAATGTAAATCTGCTTTGATACAGTGATTTGTGCAGATGTTAGTGACCTGGAGGTTGTTCATCAGGTTTTCAGTGTTTTGTCTTCTCTTAGTCTCCACTTTTGAAATGTTTAGTAGCTACAATTTTATAACATAAATGAGGACCATAATAATAATATATCATGTATTGTCTGTCTACTGTATATCAGCCACTGTGCAAAGTTACTTACACGTACACTGTCCAACTTAAACTTACACATGGTCCTTTTTTTTTTTTTTTTTTTTTTTTGGAGATAGGGTCTTGCTCTGTTGCCCAGGCTGGAGTGCAGTGGTGCCATCTTGGCTCACTACAACCTCCACCTCCTGGGTTCAAGTGATTCTCATGCCTTAGCCTGCCAAGTAGCTGGGACTACAGGCAGGAGCCACCACGCCTGGCTAATTTTTGTATTTTTAGTAGAGTTGGGGTTTTGCCATGTTGGCCAGGCTCTTCTCAAACGTGTAGGTGATCTGCCCATCTTGGCCTCCCAAAGTGCAGGGATTACAGGCATGAGCCACCGTGCCTGGCCACACATTGTCATCTTAAAAGCATAGCAGTCAGTCTTCCTTTTAATTATGGAAAGTTCACCTTGTAGCACACTCTTATAATTGCATCCTATCCCAGACACACACACACACACATACACACGCAGAAACAGAAGAGAAGTGGGTGAGATATTTTTTGAGACAGAATGTGATTTGTATAACATAAAAGTTTGAGAGTCTCTGGGATAAGAGGTCAATGATAGAAATGAAGATAATGTGAGGGAGATAAGAACCCAAATCAAAATACCCAATACAATAGTCCTTTTGAATAATCATGGCTTAGCTGTGGTTTTAAAAACATATGCAGAAATGATTTATTGCTTAAGGAAAGATTTGTGTGTGGGCACCTGCTGTTACTGTTTTTCCATTAGAAAATCCATAGAGTTATTTAGTTTGTATCATGGAAATGCTATACAAGTTTTAGTATCAAAATTATTTGCAAATGCAAAGAAATCTGTAAAATAAAAAATATTTTTAGTGTTTGTGTTATCCATTATTAGGTCTTAGGAGAGAAATTTGGCAAATTATTAGACATAAATATTTAACTCAATTCAAAAAATAACCTAATTAGATATTTAATCTTTCATTGCATATATATTTTTCCTGTTCAGCAGTAATTTCCTGATTTTTATCTCAGGTTTCTTTTAAAGAGAATTTAGCACATTGGAAAATATTTTCATAATTAAAGTGCTGGGTAAATTCTTTTAAAATGTGTTCAATCAGATAGAAGTAGAAATACCCTTACGTGCACATACTTAAGCTATTCACACTATTAGGTAATTGTGAAGTTACAGTTGCATTGAGTATGTGGCACATTTCATTTAATGTTGGTAACATCTGCAAATGTCCAGAGTGTTTGCTTCATAAATGTCTAAAAGTTTGCCCACTTTTATGTAAAACTAAAGAAGTAGAAATGACAAAAGTAATAGAATACTACTGTATCAGAGTTTTAAAGGAATCATATGGACTCTTCGATCTGTTTGTTTTTCAGAGATGAGAGGGATATGTTTACAGACCACATTAGCTTACACATTAATTGGAAAATGTGTTTCGCTGAAATACACACAGTATTTTCATTTTTCTGTAAACTTAATATTTAGGTATAGTAGGTAAACTAGTTTTACATCAGTGTGTTTATAGTTCAAGTTACTTCATAATTTGTTTCATAAGATCACACTAAAATATTGTCTATTTTCATATAAGGAGAATATATGCAATTTTAATATCTTGACCCCATTTATTAATACATTGTTATTTATCGAAACTCTGGTATGTGCCATATCTTAGATGCCGAGGCGAGCAAGATGAGGGAGGGTTCTTGCCATTGTAGAGTTTTCAGTTCAGAGTAACACATTTACTGAAGCAAGCACAATAAAATGTAAAGGCAAGAGGACTGCTTGAGCCCAGGAGTTTGAGGCTACAGTGAGCTAAATCAGCTACTGCACTCCGACCTGGGTACTGTAGGACACTGTATGAATTAAGATAAGTCGTATTTGTGTTAAGATTACTTGCAAAGTCTTAGCACTGATGATTTAAAATTTATCCCAATTTGTAACTTTGAGATTTTACTATATTAACAACCTGAGGGTTTTTAAAGCAACTTTATTATGATTGGTAACTTTTAAAGTACTCTGTTGAAAAGTAGAGCTGTATTAAATATCAAACATATATTGTGTTCTCCAGATATTATCTGAGCATTTAAATGAAAGGTAGATCCAATTTAAATTTTTAGTTTTTTGTTCTCTGAGGTTTGGTCTGCATGTTATGTTAATTTAAAATATAGGTTAAGAGCAAAGGATCTTCATTCCTAGTTTAAACATTTATCATGTGAACATGAAAGATATTAAAAAATTCAAAGGATTTCTGTTGAGAGCTTGTCATACAATATTAGCTCTCATAACTCGGGTTAAAAAGGCTATTTTTAAAAATTGGGAAGATATTTTGGTTTATAGCAAGACAATCTGATTTGTATACATTTTAATTTGGCTGTACACATTAGGTCGCTTTATGAGTCTACTTTGTAAGCAGTTTTTAGGAAGCTGGGTTTAATCATGAGAGTTGTTTGTGGCAGCACCATTTGTGTTATTTGTGTTTTGTTTTGCTTTTAGACAGGGTCTCATTCTGTAGGGAGCACAGTGGCGAGAACTCTGGTCACTGCCACCTCCACTTCCTGGGCTCAAGTGATCCTCACACCTCAGCCTCCCCAGGAGCTAGAACTATAGGTCTGTGCCACCATGCCTGGCTAATTTTTTGTAGTGATGGGGTTTCACCATGTTACCCACGCTGGTCCCAAACTCCTGAGCTCAAGCGAACCACCTGACTCGTTCTCAAAGTGTTAAGATTAGAGGTGTGACCCACCTTGCCCAGCCTGTTTTTTTAAAGGTGTCACTTTTTGAGCATCTCACATACTAGGCAATTCGCATATCCCATTTAGTCCTCACAGAGGCGTCATGAGGGATGTGTCATTGTAACAATTTATAATGAGGGAATAGACTTAGAAGGGTTAAGTTACTGGTGCCCAAGGTCATAGAGACATAATCAAATTGGTCTGAATTCCAATGTATGACTACCACACCTGTAACCTGCTATGCTACTCTGTCTCCCTAAAACCCATAAACTTCTTAAATCTTTACAGTGATATTCCTTCATTTTCCCAATGCACTTTTATAAGTCTGCAAAAGTACGTAATATTAACAAAGTGTAAAACTATGCCCACTCTGCTTATAAAAGCAGGAGGTAGAAAGACAGGAGTATTAGGAAACTCTGGGCAATCAAAACATTCTATCTATGAAGTTCTGGTTAATGCCAACTCACCGGTAATGACAGGTAGTAATCTGAGAACAAGCATAGATAATTGGTTCATTTTCTTGCTGTCACTATGGTAGCTCACATTAGGAAGATAACTTGGTTCAGGGGCAGGAGCACTGGAGGCGGGGCACCTGCAGGTCTTCATTTTAATACTCACATAATGGTGAAAATTGTTTGAAAATATTTGGAATTAACACCAACACTAAAGTATTCTTGCTGTCTTGGAAAGGGAAGTCATTGTCTTGAGGAATCTTGTGTAAGTTCAATTTGGATTCAGAGAGCTAATTTCTGGAAAGCTGTATTAAATGCTAAGGCTTCAGCATTCCACTGGGTGTGCCGTCATCTAACATAAAATAATACCATTTTGTGAGAAGCGTATGGTAAAGAGAGAAATAATCGAGTTGTAGCACCCACAGATTGAGATCATCCTGACACTCAGCAGTGATGCTGCAACGGGATAATTGAGGGCTAGGCATGGGGGAAGCTCTCGCAACTTTTGAAAGCTATTATGAATTTTTTAGTTTTCTCTTGTAGATTCTTGATTTATCTGCCTCTTGCTTGTTTTTCTATCTCGAAAGTATGTCTGAGAAATGCTGTTTTAGAGAGCAGGTCCTTAATTTTCTATTGAATTTTGACATGGAGCCCTTCCTCAATTAATATAAAATATACCTACTTTCACTGCCCAGTTCTTGCAATACAAAAAAAATGAGAAAAATTTATTTGGGCTTTCCATTGATGTCATATTTAATAGGTTTTGAGAGGAGGTTATTTACCATTAGAGATGTTGTCTTTTTAAATTATAGAGGATATAAGTCTACAGTATTTTTTTCTACTGTACTTACAATTTGGCATTTGCTTGTATGTTTAGAAATATCAAATTTAATATTAAAGTACCAGAGATCTTTTATTTCACAATACTTATTTTACCAGTCTGCACGTATATGTTCTACAGTTATAACTTTACGAAGCCTTTCACTTGTGATCAATATTCATGTTGGATTGTTTCAGGTAAGAAACTGCCATTTGAGGCAGGGTCAGGTAGCTCACGCCTGTCATCACAACACTTTGGGAGGCCGAGGCGGGCAGATCACTTGAGCCCAGGAGGCAGAGGTTGCAGTGAGCGGAGATCATGCCACTGCACTACAGCCTGGGCCACAGAGCAAGACCCTGCCTCAATTAAAAAAAAAAAAAACTGCCATTTGAATCATTTGAAAGTTTTTTTTTAATATTTTAAGGACTATTCAAATAAAAATAATTTTAGTCTTAGTTATTTTCAAATGAATTAAAAGCTGAACAGCCAGCAGTACAATTTAAAGTTAGACTTTCTCTCTGCTCATGCTGAGGAAAAATTTACTATCATTGCAGTAGTATTTGTACCTCATTTATTTATTTTAATTTTTGTTTTTTACGACAGAATCTTGCTCTGTTGCCCAGGCTGGAGTGCAGTAGCACCATAACTGCTCACTGCAGCCTTGATTTCCTGGGGTCAGGCCATCCTCCTGCCTCAACTTCTTGAGTAGCTGGGACTATAGGCGCATGCCACCACACCTGGCTAATTTTTGTATTTTTTTGGCAGAGGGGAGAGTTTTGCCATGTTGCCCAGGATCATCTCGAACACCTAGGCTCAAGTGTTCTGCCCATCACGGCCTCCCAAAGTGTTGGGATTACAGATGTGAGCCACCTTGCCTGGCCTATTTTTTAAAATAAACTGTTTAGAATTTTAGATGACAGTGTTACACAACTCACATTAGGAACCAGGAGTAATTTAGCATAGTGGTTCTCAGTTATGGCTGGCTGAGCGTCTGAATTCCTTTTTTTTTTTTTTTTTTTTTTTAACAAAAACATTAAATCAGAATCTCAGGGGTTGAGTCTGGGCTCTAATTTTTTATTTCTACATATAAAATATATATATAATATATATATGCATACACATTTCATTAGCTTTGGGTACAAGTGGTTTTTGGTTACATGGATAAATTGCATAGTGGTGAAGTATGAGATTTTAGTGCACCCATCACCTGAGTAGTGTACATTGTACCCAATATTTTTAAAATATTAAATATTAAAGAGATTTTTAAAATTTCTTACTCCTCTTCCACTCTTCCCCATTCTGAGTCTCCAGTGTTCATGATACTACTGTGTATGCCTTTGTGTACCCATAGCTTAGTTCTCACAAGTGAGAACATGCAGTATTTGGTTTTCCATTCCTGAGTTATTTCATTTAGAATAATGGCCTCTAGCTTCATTCAGGTTTCTGCAAAAGACGTTATTTTATTTATTTTCTTTTATGGCTGAGAGTATTCCATATATATATGTGTATATATATATGTGTGTGTATATATATGTGTATATATGTGTATATACATATGTGTGTGTATATATATGTATATATGTGTGTATATATATGTGTGTGTATGTATATATATATATGTATATATATATCACTTTTTCTTTTTCCATTTATTGGTTGATGGGCACTTAGGTTGGTTCCGTATCTTTGCAATTGTGAATTGTGCCACAATAAACATATGCACGCAGGTGTCTTTTTGATGTAATGACTTCTTTTCCTGTGGGTAGATGCCCAGCAGTGGGATTGCTGGATCAAATGGTAGATTTACTTTTAGTACTTAAAGGAACGTCCGTGCCGTTTTCTGTAGAGGTTGTACTAATTTACATTACTATACATTCTCGTAAGCATTCTCTTTTCTCCGCATCCATGCCAACACCTATTGGTTTTTGACTTTCTGATAGTCACCATTCTGGTGGGGGTAAGGTGGTACCTCACTGTGGTTTTAATTTGCATTTCCCTGATGATTAGTCATATTTAGCATTTTCTTACGTGTTTGTTGGTTATTTGTATATCTTTCTTTGAGAAGTGTCTATTCATGTCATTTGTCCGCTTTTTGATGGGATTTTTTTTCTTGCTGATTTGAGTTCCCTGTAGATTCTGGATACCAGTCCTTTGTCAGATGCATAGTTTCCAAATATTTTCTCCCATTTTGTGGGTTGTTTAATCTGATGATTATTTTCTTTGCTGTGCAGAAGATTTTTAGTTTAATTAGGTCTTATTTACTTTTGTTTTTGTGGCATTTGCTTTTGGGGTCTTAGTCATAAATTCTTTGTCTAGACCATTGTCCAGAAGGGTTTTTCCTATGGTTTCTTCTAGAATTTTTATGGTTTTTGGTTTTAGATTTAAGTATTTAATCCATCTTGAGTTGATTTTTGTATAAGGTGGGAGCTAGGGATCCAGTTTCATTCTTCTACGTATGGCTATCCAGTTTTCCCAGTACCATTTATTAGATAATGTGTCCTTTCCCCAATTTTGTTTCTGTATGCTTTGTCAAGGATCAGTTGGTTGTAAGTATTTGGCCTTATTTCTAGGTTCTCTATTCTTTTCCATTCTGTGTGTCTACTTTTATATCAGTACCATGCTGTTTTGCTTACTATAGCCTTGTAGTATAAAGTCAGGTAATGTGATGCCTCCAGATTAGTTCTTTTGCATAGGATTGCTTTGGCTATTTGAGCCATTTTTTGATTCCATAAGAATTTTAGGATTTTTCTCTATTTCTATTGAAGCGATGTTCGTATTTTGATAGGAATTGCATTGAATCTATAGAGTGTTTTGGGCAGCATGGTTGTTTTCACAATATCGATTTTTCCAATCCATGAACATGGGATGTATTTCCATTTGTTTGTATCATCTGTGATTTCTTTCAGTAGTGTTTTGTGGTTCTCCTTGTAGCAATCTTTCACCTCCTCTGTTCATATACTCCTAGGGTTTTGTTGTTGTGTTGTTTTGTTTTTGCAGCTATCATAAAAGGGATTGAGTTCTTGATTTGATTTCTTAGTGATATGGTTTGGCCATGTCCCCTCCGAAAATCTCATCTTGAATTGTAGCTCCCATAATCCCCACATGTTGTGGGAGGGACCCAGTGGGAGATAATTGAATCATGGTGGTGGGTTTTCCCCATGCTGTTCTCATCATAGTGAATAAGTCTCACAAGATCTGATGGTTTTATAAAGGGCAGTTCACCTGCACAGGTTCTCCTGCCTGCCAGCATGTAAGACATGCCTTTGCTCCTCCTTTGGCTTCTGCCATGATTGTGAGGTCTCCCCAGCCATGTGGAACTGTGAGTTCATTAAACCTCTCTTTCTTTATAAATTACCCAGTCTCGAGTATGTCTTTCTTAGCAGTGTGAGAATGGACTAATACACTCAGCTTGGTCGTTGTTGGTATATAGCAGCACTACCAATTTGTGTACATTGATTCTGTAGCATGAGACTTTACTGAATTCATTTATCAAATCTAGGATTCTTCTGGAAGAGTCTTTAGGGTTTTCTAGGTATATGAGCATATCATTGGCAAACAGATAGTTTGACTTTCTCTTTTCCAATTTGGATGCCCTTTATTTCTTTTTCTTGTCAGATTACTCTGACTAGGACTTCCAGTACTGTGTTGAATAGAAGTGTTGAAAGTAGGTATCCTTGTCTTGTTCCAGTTCTTAGGGGGAATGCTTTCAACTTTTCCCCATTCAGTATGTTGGCTCTGGGTTTGTCATAGATGGCTTTTCATATTTTGAGGTATGTTCCTCCTATTGAGCTCTACTTTTTAAAAGTAAACAGTTTTATTTTAGCTTTTCAAGCTTCAAATTTTTATTTTTTGAAGTGGGCAGAGGTATATGTGCCTTTTTAAATTTTTTTTTTTGGAATAGCTTATATGAAATGTCATACCCTAGGATTTTTAGTTCCAAGCCTCAGAAATTCTCTTTCAAGAATCAGATCCATGAAGTTCCCTTAAAAAGAGGATAATTAAAATAACCTGAAAAGTAAATGCATCCTAGATGAAAGCGTTAAATCTTTTTGGATTCCTCAAACACGCTACTGTATTGCCAGGGAAGATGGATATCGAAGGTATCATTGGTTGATATTCCCTGATGGTCACAGATATAACTATAATCACAGGTAAATGCACATCAGATCTTGAGATACGTTATAGTCAGGATATGGGTTGCCATCCAGTTTGAATGTCTGGGCATTCTGGTAATTTGAAAAGCAGCAATACAAAAGTGTTCTGCCTGTCCTGTAGTCAGCTCTCCAGGATGTCTCCTAATCCTGATAGGCATCAGAAAAACTTGAATGTCTTTCCCTGGGGCAGTCAGATCAACCGTCCTGGGGTTATGTCTTCAGTCAATAGTGAGACCACCTGAGAAAGTTTTTCAGGCTCTGCCTAGGTCTCTGGCTAGCCTCCTCTTTATCCCTGGTGTTTATCTGGATTTCAGGTGATTATTGGTATTCCTCCAGGCTGGGGGTAATATTTCCATGTACAGGTGGTTCTACAGGTTTGGCAGTCTACAGGAGTAGATTAGAGTCTTTAAACTGAGTGTCCTAACTTCCTTTGCTCTGGGAAGAAGTCCTAACTTCCTTTGCTCTGGGAAGAAGTCCTAACTTCCTTTGCTCTGGGAAGAAGTCCTAACTTCCTTTGCTCTGGGAAGAAGTCCTAACTTCCTTTGCTCTGGGAAGAAGTCCTAACTTCCTTTGCTCTGGGAAGAAGTCCTAACTTCCTTTGCTCTGGGAAGAAGTCTTAACTTCCTTTGCTCTGGGAAGAAGTCCTAACTTCCTTTGCTCAGGGAAGAAGTCCTTGAGGTGTAAGACTCACTGTGGCTCCAACCCCTACCGTCCAATATTTGCATTCACTCCTTAGTAATTTTATTACTCACACTAGTGTTTTGAGGCTTCACAGGTATCCCAGTACCTAGGCAGTGCCTGATAATTTCCACAGGTTTATTTTCTCTTTAACATAGTGTTCATAATTCTTCACTGATTCCACAAAGGCCAAGATGCATGGCAGGTGGAATTTTAGGGAGTGACCAGGTAAGCCTCCCTGGGCTTGGTGCTGACTGTTGACAGGGTGCTCACCAGGGCCCCATCAGGGCTCTTCGTTTGCTCTTCTCACGGGACAGCACAGCCTCATCCACCATTGATTTTCCACTGCTGTCAGTGTCCTTACTGTCTTCCGGGTTAGACCTTAGGTGATAACATACAACGTCTGTGTTTTTAAAGTGTGCTAAGTCAAATTTTCTTAAATATACATAATTTTGTCAGTTTTAAATTACCAGATACATTCAAGAATTATATTAATTGCTGCTGAGTTAGAATTGCATTTTAAAGAGAATAGTTTTATGAAATTTGAACTTGAAGAATAGAGTAGGAAATGTTAGATGGTTACCCTAAACATTGTAAATAATAGGGAGGGAAGAGGATCCGATGTCTGACTCATGGCAAGTAATTGACTTTGAAAAATACGAATTTTCTAAAAAGAAAGGCTGAACCGAAACTTGCCCACTCCAGTCTCTGATCTCATTCTCCTCAGCTCAGTGAGACCACACACTCCCTTTGGATCTCCATCCCTGCACTGTGGCCTGGGAATTGCTGTGAGGCAGAACACTGAGGTGGTTGTTATTATTATTATTATTATTATTATTATTATTATTATTATTTTTCAGACCAGTCTCGCTCTGTCGCCCAGGCTGGAGTGCAGTGGCGCGATCTTGGCTCACTGCAAGCTCCGCCTCCTGGGTTCACGCCATTCTCCTGCATCAGCCTCCCAAGTAGCTGAGACTACAGGCGCCTACCACCATGCCTGGCTAATTTTTTGTATTTTTAGTAGAGACGGGGTTTCACCGGGTTAGCCAGGATGGTCTCGATCTCCTGACCTCGTGATCCACCCACCTCAGCCTCCCAAAATGTATTATTATTTTTTAAATGTAGTTTGCTTTTGAAAGAACAACACAATAGTAAATACTTAATACATGTACTGTTAATAATATTTGCATATTAAATTGTGGGTATGTTTTAGTATAAATGGGCACTAATTTTATACTTTATCCAGTCTCACACTTTAAATAGACATTGTATCACTTAGGAGAAGGGCAATTATTCTGTTGTGGGAGTGGAGAAGAAAGGCTGAAACAGAGTCTAATGAAGTACATTATTTCAACACTTCTTTCTCTTCCTTTTTAATGGAACCCTGCTCCTCAGATAGAGTGGTTTTTGTCTTTGGTTCTGTTTATATGCTGGATTACGTTTATTGATTTGTGTATGTTGAACCAACCTTGCATCCCAGGGATGAAGCCCACTTGATCATGGTGGATAAGCTTTTCGATGTGCTGCTGGATTCGGTTTGCCAGTATTTTATTGAGGATTTTTGCATCAATGTTCATCAGGGATATTGGTCTAAAATTCTCTTTTTTTGTTGTGTCTCTGCCAGGCGTTGGTATCAGGATGATGCTGGCCTCATAAAATGAGTTAGGGAGGATTCCCTCTTTTTGTATTGATTGGAATAGTTTCAGAAGGAGTGGTACCAGCTCCTCCTTGTACTTCTGGTAGAATTTGGCTGTGAATCCGTCTGGTCCTGGACTTTTTTTGGTTGGTAAGCTATTAATTATTGCCTCAATTTCAGAGCCTGTTATTGGTCTATTCAGGGATTCAGCTTCTTCCTGGTTTAGTCTTGGGCGGGTGTATGTGTCCAGGAATTTATCCATTTCTTCTAGATTTTCTAGTTTATTTGCGTAGAAGTGTTTATAGTATTCTCTGATGGTAGTTTGTATTTCTGTGGGATCAGTGGTGATATCCCCTTTATCATTTTTAATTGCGTCTATTTGATTCTTCTCTTTTTTCTTCTTTATTAGTCTTGCTAGCGGCCTATCAATTTTATTGATGGCCATTGCTGAGGCTTGAGTAGGTAAACAAAGTGGCCTGGAGGCTCGAACTGGGTGGAGCCCACTGCAGCTCAAGGAGGCCTGCCTGCCTCTGTAGACCACCTCTGGGGGCAGGGCATAGCCGAACAAAAGGCAACAGAAACGTCTGCACACTTAAATGTCCCTGTCTGACAGCTTTGAAGAGAGTAGTGGTTCTCCCAGCACGGAGTTTGAGATCTGAGAACGGACAGACTGCCTCCTCAAGTGGGTCCCTAACTCCCAAGTAGCCAAACTGGGAGGCACCCCCCAGCAGGGGCAGACTGACACCTCACATGGCTGGGTACCCCTCTAAGACAAAGCTTCTAGAGGAACGATCAGGCAGCAACATTTGCTGTTCTGCAGCCTCTGCTGCTGATACCCAGGCAAACAGGGTCTGGAGTGGACCTCCAGCAAACTCCAACAGACCTGCAGCTGAGGGTCCTGACCGTTAGAAGGAAAACTAACAAACAGAAAGGACATCCACACCAAAACCCCATCTGTACGTCACCATCATCAAAGACCAAAGGTACATAAAACCTCAAAGATGGGGAAAAAACAGAGCAGAAAAGCTCAAAATTCTAAAAATCAGAGCACCTCTCCCCCTCCAAAGGAACGCAGTCCTCACCAGCGACAGAACAAAGCTGGATGGGAATGACTTTCACGAGTTGAGAGAAGAAGGCTTCAGACGATCAAACTTCTCCAAGCTAAAGGAGGAAGTTCGAACCCATCGCAAAGAAGCTAAAAACCTTGAAAAAAGATTAGACGGATGGCTAACTAGAATAACCAGTGTAGAGAAGTCTTTAAATGACCTGATGGAGCTGAAAACCATCGCATGAGAACTACGTGACGAATGCACAAGCTTCAGTAGCCAATTCAATCAACTGGAAGAAAGGGTATCAGTGATGGAAGATCAAATGAATGAAATAAATCCACAAGAGGAGTTTAGAGAAAAGAGAGTAAAAAGAAATGAGCAAAGTCTTCGAGAAATATGGGACTATGTGAAAAGACCAAATCTACGTCTGATTGGCGTACCTGAAAGTCACGGGGAGAATGGAACCAAGTTGGAAAACACTCTGCAGGATATTATCCAGGAGAGCTTCCCCAACCTAGCAAGGCAGGCCAACATTCAGATTCAGGAAATACAGAGAATGCCACAAAGATACTCCTGGAGAAGAGCAACTCCGAGACACATAATTGTCAGATTCACCAAAGTTGAAATGAAGGAAAAGATGTTAAGGGCAGCCAATGAGAAAGGTTGGGTTACCCACAAAGGGAAGCCCATCAGACTAACAGCTGATCTCTTGGCAGAAACTCTACAAGCCAGAAGAGAGTGGGGACCAATATTCAACATTCATGAAGAAAAGAGGTTTCAACCCAGAATTTCATATCCAGCCAAACTAAGCTTCATAAGTGAAGAAGAAATAAAATCCTTTACACACAAGCAAATGCTGAGAGATTTTGTCACCACCAGGCCTGCCCTACAAGAGCTCCTGAAGGAAGCACTAAACATGGAAAGGAACAACTGGTACCAGTCACTGCAAAAACATGCCAAATTGTAAAGACCATCAATGCTAGGAAGAAACTGCATTAACTAATAAGCAAAATAACCAGCTAACATCATAATGACAGGATCAAGTTCACTCCTAACAATATGAACTTTAAGTGTAAATGGGCTAAATGCTCCAATTAAAAGACACAGACTGGCAAATTGGATAAAGAGTCGAGACCCATCAGTGTGCTATATTCAGGAGACCCATCTCATGTGCAGAGACACACATAGGCTCAAAATAAAGGGATGGAGGAAGATCTACCAAGCAAATGGAAAACAGAAAAAGGCAGGGGTTGCAATCCTAGTCTCTGATAAAACAGACCTTAAACCAACAAAAATCAAAAGAGACAAAGCCATTACATATTGGTAAAGGGATCAATTCAACAAGAAGAGCTAACTATCCTAAATATATATGCACCCAATACAGGAGCACCCAGATTCATAAAGCAAGTCCTTAGAGACCTACAAAAAGGCTTACACTCCCGCACAATAATAATGGGAGACTTTAACACCCCAGTGTCAACATTAGACATATCAATGAAACAGAAAGTCAACAAGGATATCCAGGAATTGAACTCAGCTCTGCACCAAGCGGACCTACTAGACATCTACAGAACTCTCCACCCCAAATCAACAGAATATGCATTCTTCTCAGCACCACGTTGCACTTATTCCAAAATTGACCACATAGTTGGAAGTAAAGCACTCCTCAGCAAATGTAAAAGAACAGAAATTATAACAAACTGTCTCTCAGACCACAGTGCAATCAAACTAGAACTCAGGATTAAGAACTCACTCAAAACCGCTCAACTACATGGAAACTGAACAACCTGCTCCTGAATGACTACTGGGTACATAGCGAAATGAAGGCAGAAGTAAATTCATTCCTTTATTAAGCAAGATGTGTAACTTTTGGTGTAAGCTGTTTGTATTGGAACAGATTGAAAATTCCTATTGTCTCTCTGCCCTTGAATACCTTTAGCCGTGGTACTGATGTACTGATATGTTCTCTAGGTAATTCACATTCCACCAGTTTTGAAGTACAGAATTGTTATTTGCTATTTTTATCAGATATGAAGTCTACTGTTATACAACCTACAAATTATGACAAATCTCTCAAAAAATTTGAGAAATGAAACATTCTCGTTAAATTTAGCATGGACTAGTGTGATTCCTATATAATTGAATAACCAATTAAAATGAATATTAATAAAAATGTTAACATATCATCTGTTTCTTCAATTTTTAAGTTCCTAGTAGACAGTGATTGTGTCATTGTAATTAACTTGTTAGGAAATATTATAGCAGATGACAGGATCACAGTAATCCCTGATCTACCATGCTGGTAATTACTCAAAGTTGGCTGTCTCAAACTAGAAATATAACGAAGAGTTTCCTTTTCTTTTTTAAATTTACCTCTTTTATTGGCATACATTCTATTTATATCAGTAACATCTACAGAATGTTTATTGTATGTTATAGAAATGGCAATTCAAAGCATTTAAAAAGCAAAGATTACATACTTTATTATATTTGAGTCTCATTATTCATCATAGTTATGCAGTGAATTGATGAATGCTGACCTGTTGTCCTAGGGGAAATAGAGTTTGGTCCCTGTGAGCCTCTGGTCACAACACTTTTATAAACCAAAGTGCCATTTGCATTAGATGGGTTTATTTGCCAGTGTCGTTGTAAAACAAGCCAGTTTCTTCCACATAACCCATTCCCTGTGTAACCTTTAGCAAATATTAAAAAATTTCTTTTGCAGCCTCCTGATCTGCAGAAGCTGCCTTGCCTTCAAATTTAACGGTTTCATGCCATATCACCTTTTGAACATGAGACAGCCAGCACTAGCCAAGAAGGGTTTAACGTTTTCCTGACCCTGTGTAAAGAGACCATGAATTTCTTTGGCTTTCAGCTTCACAACATTGCTGTTCACCACACTTACTGTTTAATTGATCGTCATCCCATGAATCCACAAAGTTAGCCACTTTTCTATAACTTCATCACATGCTATAGATGTTACTGTAGCACTTTTGGGAATGGCCTCATACACAGATTAGCACATTTTCTCTTCATTTTTCTGGATATATCATATTGTTGAATCATTGACATTGAACTCAAGGCCAGTAGCACTATAATTCATACCTGAACAAAAGCTCGTCTAATACATACACATGTATGGTGTTATAGTGTCTCTGTAAGGCACATCACAGCCTTCTTGCACTTAGGAACACTAGCACTTCAGCATTACACTTGGGGGCCACCATAAACGGCAAAATCACAACAAAAAGCAGAAAAAAGCAAAAAACCTGGTGTCATAGATGTCGAGACGGATGCCTGTTATTACAGTATGAGAATTGAAACAAGAAGGCAGAGCATGGTCACGGAGGCCCCAGCTGGGAGTGTGCATGCTGAATGACTCAGTTTTCAGCTGCTCCATGCATGTCTGAGGTCATATGATGTCAGAACACCATGAGGGTTGATTTTGGGATTACAAATAATTTTAGCAGGTAGGAACATTTGCAAATACATAACCTGCAAATAATGAGAATCGATGTAGGTAAAATAGCTACAGCTTTTCTATATCAGGATTTTTATATCTTTTAATAGATGTAAAGATTTTAATAGATATAAAGATGAAAAGATTTTCACATCTTTTAATATCTCATTTAAAAATCAATTTTGTACTGAATTTCATGGCTACAAATGAAATATAAGAAAATTTCTCTTATTTTCTCTCCCATCCAAGTACTCACCAGGCCCAATCCTGCTTAGCTTCCAAGATCAGGTGAGATCAGGTGTGTTCAGGGTGATATGACCGTATTTTATATTCTATTAATTGGACATCTTTTTTTCCATGTAATTTTCTCTCTCTTTCCAAGCTAGGCAGTAGTGGCTTAGTATATGATATGCTCCTGGTGTATATGACTTTAAAAGAAGAATCAGTGTTTGGCTTTTGGCTTTGGCTTTTTATTTTATTTGTTTATTTATTTTCAGAAAGCATCTCATATGGTTAAAAAGAAATTCAGATTTTTATGCTGAAAAAGGTACTTTTTTGGTACGTAGCTTTAAAATTTTAGGTTGAGAAAAGTGTACGTAAAAATCTTGAAGGAAAAGATGGAGAAATTTGACTACATACAATTTAAAAATGAAAAACCCTGTTGTTAACAAAGAAGGGAACTGGAACTGTATTGGCAACATAGATGATAACCCAAAGGATAATATTCTTATGGTATATAAAGAATTTTTGGCTGGGTATGGTGGCCCACACCTGTAATCCCAGCACTTTGGGAGACCAAAGCAGGAGGATCTCTTGAGGCCAGTAGTTTGAGACCAGCCTGGGCAATATAGTGAGACCCCATCTCTACCAAAACAGCAACAACAATGAGAAACAAAAAAAGGAATTTTGAAGAATCATTAAGAAAATCGCGAACAATACAGTGGGAACACAAGTGGTACTTTTCTAAAGAAGAGCTACAAACACACGAAAAAGGTTTTGCTTGAAATGATGTTTGGCTTCGCTAGTAATTTTTTAAAAAGCAAATTAAGACATGGTATGATTTTTGCACTTCTGGTTTTGGCCAAGATTTAAAAAAGACCAAAAATCTAAAAAGATTAACTATTAGCCATAATATTTATAATTTAAAAACTCTTGCCTTTATTCAGAGGGGAACTTCCACCCTCTTTTACCATAACCAAAGAGGTCCTCGTTGGGAGACTGGCTGTCATCATGGTGATGTATTGACATTTTGGTGTACAAGAGACTTAAACCAGTTCTAAAAGGACAAGGGAATCCTTTGAGAAACCTATATACAGTTACTGGGCCATTGAGTGGCAAACCTTGAGGGAGGAGATAGAAAACAACAAATTTCAAGCACATGAGTGCAAAAGCCTGACCATTTAATTTACAGCAGGGATTTTTCAAGTGTGATGGACTTTACCCTGCAGTGGTTATTTGTCTCTGTGTGGAGACAATTTTGATCATCATGCCTTGGAGGATACTATGGGTTTCAACTGGGTAAAGGCCAGGGATGCTGCTGAACATCTGATGATGCACAGGATGGCCCCACAACCAAGAACCATTGGCCTCAAATAGCTCCAAGGTTGAGAGAACCTGCTGTAGAGAGAAGCAGCCCCTGTGCAACTGAGTCGATTTTTCTGTATTGTTGCATATGATGACCCTGGGGAGTTAGAAAACATGTTTATTTATACTCTGTTTAAGCAGATATGGGCATTTCAAATAAACGTTACAGTTGCAATCACATCTTAAGAAAATTTTTAATGCTTAAATCACTTACTTGGAAAAATTATAGAATGTATTTTTAAATTAGGATAAATCAAACCTTACTGTATTTTGGTGTTTTATTTACACAAAGCACATAACTCAAACTCATGGATGGTAGATCCTTTTTCTTCTGTTCATGTGATTAATTTCTTAGCATAAATATGCTATATGCTTTAAAGTTCTAATCACAAAGATGTTATATACTTTAGCTTAAAGGCCCTTATTAAGTAAAAACAAAACAAAATAACTAGTTCCCTAACCTTCAGATAATGTGAGAACCATAAATTTGGAAGTAAACTAGTGGATTATATTCACTTGAGAAGTAACATATTTGTGGAGTGGAGAATTTCAGGTTGTTTGGTCTGAGTTTTCATACATATCCAGGTCATGATTCTGAATACTTATTTAATAAAAACACAAAAAAAGAGCTACGTTAAAAATACAAACAAAAAATACCTTTCTATTACTTACCTATTTTCAATGATCTAGGCACAGATCTCCTCACTGGTATTTGAGGATTGGCAGTATAGGCTGTCTTATGTTCTTTGATATTTCTAATGGCAGACAAGAGGGTATTAGAAAGAGTCAAGTTTGTTTTTTTAACTGAATTTTACAATTAACACTTAAGCAGTTATTTTTATGGATAAGCTACTGCATACCATAGTGAACTTTTGATGCCTAGCACTTGGCAATTTCAGGAAAATAATTTAGATTTAAAATATGGTAAAATGTTAAATTGTAGCATAAAAGGTTTATATAATTCTCTCTAGTATATTTGAAAATTTCCGTAATAGCTTTTTTAATTTTTATTTTTGGAGACAGAGTCTCGCTCTGTCGCCCAGGCTGGAATGCAGTGGTGCAATCTCGGCTCACTGCAACCTCTGCCTCCCAGGTTCAAGCGATTCTCCTGCCTCAGCCTTCCAAGTGGCTTGGATTATAGGTGCATGCCACCACACTTGGCTAATGTTTGTATTTTTTGTGGAGACGGGGTGTCACCATGTTGGCCAGGCTGGTCTCAAACTCCTGACCTCAAGTGATCCACCTGCCTCAGCCTCCCAAAGTGCTGGGATGACAGGCATGAGCCGTTGCGCCTGGCATAATAGCTATTTTTAAAAGTTAAAAATTAACAGTAATGACAATGAAAGCACACGTAAGCTACTTTCCTAGAGGGTGGGGGAGGTCTCGAGGAAAGGAAGGGGCAACATGTTTAAAAATCAGGAATCCTGGTTTGGAAATTCTTTGTAATTCTTTGTAAGTTCATAATTTTAATAGACGCTATAAAAATAGTCCTCTGCTGACTCCTTGCTTGAACAAAGTGACAGGTAAATTTGCTGCAGTGACTTTTAGAAAAAGTATACAAATCAGTGGTTTCTACTGTATTTACAAGGTATTGTAGCCGTTACCACCGTCTAATTCCAGAGCATTTTCACTACCCCAAAAAGAAACCCCAGATCCAATAGCAGCCATTTCCCTTTTCTTCTCACCCGATCCCCGGGCACCTTCCAGTTTTTCTGTGTATTTGTCTGTTCTGGACGTTTCATGTAAATGAAATCATATAATATGTGGCCTTTTGTTTCTGGCTGCTTTCACTTAGAATGTTTTCGAGGCTCATCCATGTTGCAGCATGTGTCAGTACCTTATTCCTTTTTCCGGCCAAATAACATTTCATTGTATGAATGATATTCCATTGGATATAACACATTTTGTTTATCCATTCATCAGTTGATGGACATTTGGGTTTTTTCCACTTTTAGGCTAATATCAGTAATACTGCGTGGATGTACATGTACGTGTTTTTGTGTGGATGTATGTTTTCAGTTCTTTCGTGTATATATGTAGGAGTGGAATTGCTGGGTCATTTGGGAACTCCATGTTTTCTTTTTGAGGAACTGCCATACTGTTTTTGAAAGCAGCTGCACCATTTTACATTACCACCAGCAATGTATGAAAACACCGGTTTCTATTATTGTACCAGTTTCTATTATTCTATTATTCCTTTTTGTCTTTTCCTTTTTTTTTTTTTTTTTTTATTTTGACACAGGGTCTCGCTGTGTCACCCAGGTTGGAGTACAGTGGTGAGATCTTGGCTCACTGCAGCCTTTGCTTCTGGGCTCAAGTGATCCTTGACTTCAGCCTCCTGAGTAGCTGGGACTATAGGTGTTTGCCACCATACCCAGCTAATTTTTTTTTTTTTTTTTTGTAGAGACGGGGTTTCACCATGTTGGCCAGGCTGGTCTTGAACTCCTGGGCTCAAGTGATCTGCCTTCTTCGGCCTCCTAAAGTGCTGGCATTACAGGCGTGAGCCACTGCACCCAGCCTATTGTATGATTTCTTGATTGAAGCCATCCTAGTGGTTATGAACTAGCATCTCATTGTGATTTTGATTTGCATTTCTGTAATGACTAATGTTAAGCATCTTTTTATGTACTTACTGGCCTGGCCATTTGTGTATCTTTTTTGGAGAAACATCTGTTCAGATCCTTTATCCATGTTTTAATTGCGTTATCTGTATTTCTATTGTTGTAATAATTTTATTCCAAATAGAACTTCTTTATCAGATATATGATTTGCAGGGTTTTTTGTTTTTTGTTTTTTTTTTTTTTTTTACATTATGTGGTTGTCTTTTCACTTAATGGTGTTCTTTGAAACACAAAACTTTTTAATGTTGAAGTCCACTTTATTTTTTCTTTAGTTGCATTTTGACATGATCCCTCTTTTTTTTTTTTTCTTAATAGCTGACTGTACTCCACTGTATGGATGCCCCATACCGTATTCAGCCAGTTCCTTATTGATTTACTATTACAGATAGGGCTATGATAAATGATTTTATGTATACATCATTTTGTGATTTTTGCCAGTGAGATTGGTGGGTCAAAGAGTAAATGTATATGTAATTTTGGTGATTATTGCCATGTTCCCCTCTCTAGAGATGGTGACATTTTGTGTTCCCACCAGTAGCGTATGAGAATCCCTATTTCCCTGCAGCCTGTAGAGCAGAGTACATTGCCAGGCTTTTAGAGTTTTGCTAGTCTAATAAGTAGAAATGATATATTACATGTAATCTAAAAATTGCTCTGCTCTAATGATGAGATAAATTAAGCATCTTTTAATAAATTTATAGGCCTTTTGCATTACTTTTTGTGTTTTCTGCTTGTCCATATCGTTTGCTCATTTTTTTAAATTGGATTTTGGGGCGTATTCTGAAATTTCAGAGGTTCTTTACATATTAGGGATATTAGCTCTGAATTTATAAGTTGCAAATATTTCTTACACTTTTGCCTATTCAATTTGTCACTTATATTTTTACTTTGTTTACCGTGTATTTGGGATGTGCAAAGAGTTTACTTTTGCTTATTTTGGGGTTTTGTGTTTGTTTGCTTGTTTGTTTCTACTCTTTGGTTTTAAAGGAATCTACTCATATTTTCATCTAATACTTGATTTTGATTTTCTGATTTTTGATTGTATTTTTCATTCATTCTTTTGAGTTTTCTGGATATATAATCATATCATAGGTGCCATCTGCAAATAGAAGATGTTTTACCTCTTTTTTCCAGTTCTGATTCCTCTGATTGCCTTCTCTTATGTAATTGCATTGGTAAATACCCCCAAAGCAGTATTGAGTAAGAAGGGATATAGTGAGGATCCTTAACTGTTTCCTTATTTTAGCACAAAATCTTCTAATATTTCTCCATTAAGTAAAATGATGGCTTTGAAGCTGATATGTATACAGGCGTACCCTGGATATATTGTGGGTTTGGTTCCAGACCACCACAACAAAGTGAATATCACAGCAAAGTGAGTTACACAAATTTTTTTGGCTTCCCAATATGGATAAAAGTTATGTTTACACTTTACCATAGTCTGTTAAGTGTGCAACAACAGTTATGTCTAACAAGACAAATGTACAGACCTTAATTAAAAAATACTTTATTGCTAAAAATGTTAACAATCATCTGAGCCTTCAGGGAATTGTGGTCTTTTTGCTGGTGGAGGGTCTTGCCTTGATGTTGATGGCTGCTGACTGATTAGGGTGGTGGCTGCTGGAGGTTGGGATGTCTGTGGCAGTTCCTTAAAATAAGGACAGCAATAAAGTTTGCCACATCGATTGGCTTTTCCTTTCATGAAAGATTTCTCTGTCATTTGTCATGCTGTTTGGTAGCATTTTACCCATAGTGGAACCTCTTTTCAAAATTGGAGTCACTCGTCTCCAACCCTACTGCTGCTTTATCAACTAAGTTTATGGAATATTCTGAAACCTGTGTTGTCATTTCAGCAATGTTCACAACATCTTCATCAGGGTTAGGTTCCATCTCAAGAAACTACTTTCTTTGCTTATCCATAAGAAGCAGCTCCTCATTCATTAAAGTTTTATCCTGAGATTATAGCAATTCAGTTATATCTTCATGCTCGACTTCTAATTCTAGGGCTCCTCCCATTTCCACCACATCTGGAGTTAATTTGCCCGGATCCATCAGAGGAATCACTATATTAGCTTTAGATTTAGGAAATGTATTCTTTAATAAGACCTGAAAGTTGAAATTACTTACTTTTTTTTTTTTTTTTTTTTTTTTTTTTTTGAGACAGGGTCGTGCTCTGTCACCTGGGCTGGAGTGCAGTGGCACAAACAGGGCTGACTGCAGCCTTGAACTCTTCGGCTCAAGTGATCCTCCTGCCTCGGCCTCCCAAAGTGCTGGGATTACAGGTGTGAGCCACTGCGCCCAGCTGAAATTACTTCTTGATCAGTGGGCTGCAGAAGGGATGTCATGTTAGCCACATGAAAATAACACTAATCTCCCTGTACATCTCCATTAGAGCTCTGGGGTAACCAGGTGGATTGCCAGTGAGCAGTAATATTTTGAAAGGAATCTATTTTTCTGAGCAGAAAGTCTCAACAGTGAGATTAAAATATTCTGTAAACCATTCTGTTAACAGACATGCTGTCATGTAGGCTTTGTTGCTCCATCTACACAACACGGGCAGAGTAGATATAGCATAATTCTTAAGGGCGCTAGGATTTTCAGAATGGTAAATGAGCATTGGCTTCAAATTAATGTTACCAGCTGCATTAAGAGTCAGCCTGTCCTTTGATGATTTGAACCCAGGCATCATCACC